>NC_000005.10:88897685-89200716 GCF_000001405.40 Homo sapiens | reverse complement strand
CTAGCTTACATATGTCATCTAGTTTGTTTTCTAATAATTCTGTAAATTATGGATTATTATTTGTATTCCCAATTATAGACGCGGTAAGTGAGTCTCAAAAATGCAAGATTCTTTCCCTCAGCCACAAAGCTAGAAAATGGGCAAAGCCATGATTAAAACATTTTGAGAAGATAGCAGAATAGGACTCTCTAGCATTCATTCCCGCATAGCAACATCAATCTGAACAACTATCCATACACAAAAAATACCTTCACAAGAGCTAAGGAAAACAGGTTAGAGATTACAGCACCTAGGTGTAGCACCGAAATAAGAAAAGATGCATTAAATAGGGCAGAAAAGATAGTTTTACATTACCCACATCACCCCCTCCCAACCACAGGCAGCATAGCTCAGAAAGAAAGGAGTACCAGACTTTGCCCTGCATTCCAATGCCAGGCCCAATCCAGTAAAACCCAGTGCTGATTAGGCTCCTACAGCCTCAAACTTTAGGCCAGTATCCACAGTCTTAGTCTCCAAGCCCACCCAGCCCCAGGCCAGATCCCATAAGCCCTGGCTCCAGGCAAGCCTTGAAATCTTGGTCTCCAGGCCCATCCCAACACCAGGCCAACTGCAGTAGCCCCAGATTTTGGGTTTAACCCAGTGCCAAGCTAAGCTCAGTGACACTGGAATTCAGCTTGCTCTCCAGCTGTCCCAGACTTCTCACTAATCTGTTCAACGAATTCAAGAGCAGTCCCAATCTTGAAACATGCCATACAACTTGCCCAGAATCCCTGGACAGGCTGACTAGTGAAAGCCTTTCTCAGGCAAAACCAGTCTTCAAAAACTGAAATAAATCCCTACTTCTTCAAATGTGTACTCATTACTGTAAGGCAACAAGAGACATAAAAAATTAGGACGCATACCACTGAAAAAACATAACAATCTCACAGTAGCTGATCCCAAAGAGATACAGATATACAAATGGTCTGACAACTTGAAAAATTATTTTAAAGAAGCTCAGAAAACTTAAAGAAAATAAAAATAAACTACTCAATAAAATTAGAAAGACAATGAATGACCAAAGTGAGAAATTTATCAGATATTGAAATTATTTTTAAAAATCAAAATTCTAGAACTGAAAAATATAATAAATGTAATGAAAAATGCAATCGAGAGCATTAACAGTGAATTGACTAAGCAGAAGAAAGATTCTGTGAACTCAAAGACAGGTTACTTGTAAATATACAGTTAAAGAAGAAAAAGAATGAAAAAGAAATAAAGATAGATGTGTGGAACAGCATTAAAAGAGCAAACGTTCAGGTCATAGCAGTTCACAAAGAAGAGAAAAATAAAGGAATAGAAAGCTTACTCAAAGACATAATAACAGAGGCTGGGCATGAAATAAAAAATGCAATTGAGAGCATTAACAGTGAATTGATTAAGGAGAAGAAAGATTCTGTGAACTCAAAGACAGGTTACTTGAAAATATACAGTCAGAAAGGGAAAAGAATGAAAAAGAAGTAAAGACAGATGTATGGAACAGCATTAAAAGAGCAAATGTTCAAGTCATAGCAGTTCACAAAGGAGAAGAGAAAAACAAAGGAATAGAAAGCTTGCTTAAAGGCATAATAACTGAGACTGGGCATGGTGGCTCATGCCTGTAACCTCAGCACTTTCAGAGGCCAAGGCAGGTAAATCATTTGAGGTCAGGTGTTCAAGACCAGCCTTGCCAACATATTGAAACCTTGTCTCTACCACAAATACCACAATTAGAAACAGGTGATGGTGTGTGCTTGTATTCCCAGCTAGTTGGGAGGCTAAGGAAGGTGATTGCTTGAACCTGGGAGGCAGTGGTTGCAGTGAGCCGAGATCATGCCACTGCACTCCAGGCTGGGCAACAGAGTGAGACTCCGTCTCAAACAAAAATAAAAATAAAAAGACATAATAGCTGAAAACTTTCCAAATCTGAGGAAAGATACAAATGTTCTGGTAAAGGAAGGTCAAAGATGTCCAGTCACGTTCAATCCAAACAAGACTAAACCAAGATATAATCAAACCATCAAAAGTCAAAGACAAAGAGAGCACCCTAAAAGAAGCAAGAGAAAAGAGTTACATAACATATAAGGGGCTCTGATAAACCTAACAGCAGATTTCTCAGCAGAAACATTGCAGACAAGGAGAGAGTGGTTATATTCTAAGTGCTAAAGGAAAATACTGGCAACGAAGAATACTGTATCTGGTAAAGCTGTCCTTCAGAAATGAAGGAAAAATAAAGATTTTCTCAGACAAACAAAAGCTGAGGAAGTTTCTCTAATACAGACCTGTATTAGAAAAATGCTAAAGAGTTCTCTTCAAGCTGAAAGCAAATGACTCTAACTGATAATCCAAAAACATAAGAAACTATAAAACTAACTGTCAATAGTAAGTACACAGTCACAGTCAAAATATTCTGATACTATAATGGTATTGTGTACCCACTTACATCTTTAGTATGAAGTGGGTACTGTGTACCATTGGTGTGTTATATTCAGGAGGCCCATCTTACATGCAAAGACACAAACAGGCTCAAAATAAAGGGATGAAGGAATATTTACCAAGCAAATGGAAAGCAAAAAAAAGCAGGGGTTGCAATCCTAGTCTGTGACAAAACAGACTAAACCAACAAAGATCAAAAAGACAAAGAAGGGCATTACATAACAGTAAAGGGAACAATTCAAAAAGAAGAGCTATTATAAATATATATGTACACAATACAGGAGCACCTAGATTCATAAAATAAGTTTATAGAGACCTACAAAGAGACTTAGACTCCCACACAATAATAGTGGGAGACTTTAACAACCCAATGTCGGTATTAGACAGATCAATGAGACAGAAAATTAACAAGGATATTCAGGACTTGAACTCAGCTCTAAATCAAGTGGACCAAGTAGACATCTACAGAACTCTCTACCCCAAATCAACAGAATATACATTCTTCTCAGTGCCACATGACACTTATTCCAAAATTGACCACATAATTGGAAGTAAAACACTCTTCAGCAAATGCAAAAAAATGGAAATCATAACAAACATTCTCTCAGGCCACAGTGCAATCAAATTAGAACTCAGGATTAAGAAACTCACTCAAAACCACAAAATTTCATGGAAATTGAACAACCTGCTCACTAATGACTCCTAGGTAAATAGTGAAATTAAGGCAGAAATCAGAAGTTCCTTGAAACCAATGAGAAGAAAGAGATAACATACCAGAATATCTGAGACACAGCTACAGCACTGTTTAGAGGGAAATTTATAGCACTAAATCCCCACATCAGAAAGCTAGAAAGATCTCAAACTGACACCCTAATATCACTATTAAAAGAGCTAGAGAGGTAAGAGCAAACTAATCCAAAAGCTAGCAGAAGACAAGAAGTAACTAAGATCAGAGAAGAATTGAAGGATATAGAGACATGAAAATTTCTTCAAAAAATCAACTAATCCAGGAGCTGACTTTTTGAAAAAATTCACAAAACAGATAGACCACTAGATAGACCAATAAAGAAGAAGAGAGAGAAGAATTAAATAGACACAATAAAAATGATAAAGAGGATATCACCACTACCCCAGAAAAATACAAACTACCGTCAGAGAATACCATGAACACCTCTACGCAAATAAACTAGAAAATCCGCAAGAAATTGATAAATTCCTGGAAAGATACGCTCTACCAAGACTAAACCAGGAAGATGTCGAATCCCTGAATAGACCAGTAACAAGCTCTGAAATTGAGCAGTAATTAATAGTCTACCAACACAAAAAAGCCCAGGACCAGATGGATTCACAGCTAAATTCTACCAGAAATACAAAGAGGAGCTGGTACCATTCCATCTGAAACTGTTCCAAAAAATTGAAAAGGAGGGACTCCTCTCTGATTCATTTTATGAAGCCATAATCATCCTGATACCAAAACTGGGAAGAGACACAATAAAAAAAAGAAAACTTCAGCCAATATCCCTGATGAACATCGATGCAAAAATCTTCAATAAAATACTGGAAAACCGAATCCAGCAGCACATCAAAAAGCTTCACAATCAAGTCGGCTTAATCCCTGAGAGGCAAGGCTGGTTCAACACACATAAATCAATAAATGTAATCCATCACATAAATGGAACCAAAGACAAAAACCACATAATTATCTCAATAGATGGAGAAAAGGCCTTTGATAAAATTCAGCATCCTTCATGTTAAAAACTCTCAATAAACATGATGGAACATGTCTAAAAATAATAAGAGCTATTTATGACAAACTCACAGCCAATATCATATTGGATGGGCAAAAGCTGGAAGCATTCCCTTTGAAAACTGGTTCAAGACAAGGATGCCCTCTCTCATCACTCCTATTCAACATAATATTGGAAGTTCTGGCCAGGGCAATCAGGCAAGAAACAGAAATAAAGGGCATTCAAATGGGAAGAGAGGAAGTCAAGTTGTCTCTGCAGATGACACAATTTTATATTTAGAAAACCCCATCATCTCAGTGCAAAAACTTCTTGAACTGATAAGCAAATTCAGCAAAGTCTGACGATACAAAATTGATGTGCAAAAATCACAAGCATTCCTTTACACCAACAACAGGCAAGCAGAGAGCCAAATCATGAATGAACTCCTATTCACAATTGCTACAAAGAAAATAAAATACCTAGGAATACAGCTAACGAAGAATGTGAGGGACCTCTTCAAGGAGAACTATTAACCACTGCTCAAAGGAAAAAGAGAGGTCACAAACAAATGGAAAAACCTTTCATCCTCATGGATAGGACGAAACAATATCATGAAAATGGCCATACTCCCCAAAGTAATTTACAGATTAAATGCTATTACCATCAAACTAAAATTGACATTCTTTACATAATTAGAAAAACACTATTTTAAATTTCATGTGGAATCAATGAAGACCTGATACAGCCAAGACAATCCTAAGCAAAAAGAACAAAGCTGGAGGCATTACACTACCTGACTTCAAACTATACTACAAGCCTACAGTAACCAAAACAGCATAGTACTGGTACCAAAACACACATATAGAACCATGGAACAGAACAGAGACCTCAGAGATAACACCACACATCTACAACCATCTAGTCTTTGAAAAACCTAACAAAAACAAGCAATGGAGAAACGATTCCCTATTTAATCAATGGTGTTGGGAAAACTGGCTAGCCATATGCAGAAAACTGAAACTGGACCCCTTCCTTACACCTTACATAAAAATTAACTCGAGATGGAATAAAGACTTAAACGTAAGACCCAAAACCGTAAAAACTCTAGAAAAAACCCTAGGCAATACCATTCAGGACATAAGCATGGGCAAATACCTCATGGCTAAAACACCAAAAGCAATGGCAACAGAAGCCAGAATTGACAAATGGGATCTAATTAAACTAAAGAGCTTCTGCACAGCAAAAGAAACTATCATCAGAGTGAACAGGCAACCTAACAGAATAGGAGAAAATTTTTGCAATCTATCCATCCGACAAAGGGCTAATATCCAGAATTTACAAGGAACTTAAACATATTTACAAGAAAAAAACAAACAACCCCATTAAAAAGTGGGAGAATGATATGAACAGACACTTCTCAAAAGAAGACATTTACACTGCCAACAAACATATGAAAGAAATCTCAACACCACTGATCATTAAATCAAAATGCAAATCAAAAACACATTGAGATGCCTTCTCACACCAGTCAGAATGGCGATTATTAAAAAGTCAGGAAACAATAGATGTTAGCAAGCCTGTAGAGAAATAGGAATGTTTTTACACTGTTGGTAGGAATGTAAATTAGCTCAACCCTTGTGGAAGACAGTGTGGCAATTCCTCAAGGATCTAGAACCAGAAATACCATTTGACCCAGCAATCCCATTACTGGGTATATACCCAAAGGAATATAAATCATTCTACTATAAAGACACATGCACACGTATGTTTACTGCAGCTCTATTTACAATAGCAAAGACATGGAACCAACCCAAATGCCCGTGAATTATAGACTGGATAAAGAAAATGTGGTGGCTGAGTACAGTGGCTCACGCCTGTAATCCCAGCACTTTGGGAGGCCGAGGGAGGTGGATCATCTGAGGTCAGGAGTTTGAGACCTGCCTGGCCAACATGGCACAACACCATCTCTACTAAAAGTACAAAAAAAAAAAATTAGCTGGGCATGGTGGTGTGTGCCTGTAATCCCAGCTACTCAGGGAGCTGAGGCAGGAGAATCACTTGAACCGGGGAGGTGGAGGTTGCTGTGAGCCGAGATCACACCACTGCACTCCACCCTGGGTGACAGAGCAGGACTCCCTCTAAAAATAAAAATAAAAAAAAAAAAGAAAAGAAGATGTGGTATATATACATCATGGAATATTATGCAGCCATAAAAGGAAATGAGATCATGTTTTCTGCAGGGACATAGATGAAGCTTGAAGCCATCATCCTCAGCAAACTAACATAGTAGCAGAAAACCAAACACCTCATTTTCTCACTCATAAGTGAGAGTTGAACATTGAGAACATATGGGCACAGAGAGAGGAAAAACACACACCAGGGCCTATTGGGGGATGGGGATTGAGGGGAGGGAACTTAGAGCATGGGCTGATAGGTGCAGCAAACTACCATACCACAAGTATACCTACGTAACAAACCTGCACGTTCTGCACATAAAATAAAACAAAAATTGAATGTCCTATGTATGGAAACCCTACAAACTCCACCAAAAACTATTAGAACTATTAAATAATTTCAGTAAAGTTGCAGGATTCAAAATCAACATATGAAATCAGTAGTGTTTCAATTGACTAACAAGGAAGTATCTGAAAGAGAAATCAAGAAAATAATTTCCTGTATAAAAAACACAAAAAATACATAAGAACAAAATTCTAAAATTTGTATGGAACCATACAAGACTCCAAAAACCAAAGCAATCTTAAACAGTAAGAACAAAGTTTGAGGCATCACAATACCTGACTTCAAAATATGCTGCAAAGCTATAGTAATCAAAACAGCATAGTACTGGCATAAAAACAGACACATAGACTAATGGAACAAAATAGAGAGAAATAAATTAATTAATTAATACATTTATGGCCCATTGATCTTCAAAAAAGGCAGCAAGAACACGTGGAGAAAGGATAGTCCCTTCATTGACTGGTGTTGGTATATCTGCATGCAAAAGAATGAAACTAGAACTTTATCTCACATCATATACAGAAGTCCACTAAAAATAGATTGAAGACTTAAATGTAAGACTTGAATCCATAAAACTAGCAGAATAAAACATAGGAGAAAAACTCCACAACATTGATCTAGGCAATAATTTTTTAATAAGAACTCAAAAGCATAGACAACAATAGAAAAAAAAATGAGATTACATCAAACTTAAAAAATCTTCTGCACAGTCAACAAAATAATCAACAGAGTGAAGAGGCAACCTACAGAATAGAAGAAAGTATCTCCATACCATACATATGATAAGGCTTTAATATAAGGTGTGGTGGCTCACACCTTTACTCCCAGCACTTTGGGAGGCCAAGGTGGTAGGGCACTTGAACCTAGGAGTTCAAGACCAGCCTGGGCAACATAGGAAGAGCCTTGTCTCTACAAAAATAAAAATAAAAATAAAAAAAATAGCCGGGTGTCTCTAGCCTCAGCTACTCAAGAGGCTGAGATGGGAGGATTGCTTGAGCCCAGGAGTTTGAAGCTCCAATGAGGTATAATTGTGCCAACGCAAACAGCTCAATGGTAAGAAAATAAATAACCCAATGTAAAAATGGGCAAAATATCTAAATTAACATTTCTCAAAAGAAGACATACAAATAGCCAACAGGTATATTTAAAAATGCTCAACATCTTTAATCATTAGAGAAATGCAAATTAAAACCAAATTGAGATATCCACTTACATATGTTATAATGAATATTACAAAAAAGAAAAAGAAAAAAGTGTTGGAGAGGATATGGAGGAAAAGGATACCTTAAACACTGTTGGTAGGAATATAAAGTAATACTACTACTATGGAAAACAGTATGAAACAGTATGGAGTTTCCTCAAAGAATCTTAACAGGAATATCATATGATCCAGCAATCTCACTACTGTGTATATAATTAAAGGAAATTAAATCATTAAATCCAAGAGATATCTAAACTCCCATGTTCATTTCAGCATTGTTCACAATAGCCAAGATATGAAATCAACCTAAATGTATATCAATAGATAAATAGGTAAATCAAATCTATTACATAAACACAATGGAATACTCTTCAGCCTTAATAAAGATGGAAATCCTGTCCTTTGGGACAACATGAATGAACCTGGAGGACGTTATGTTAAGTAAAATAATCCAGGCACAGAAAGACATACTGCATGATCTCACTTATACATGAAGTATAAAAAGTTGAACTCACAGAAGTAGAGAGTAGAATGGTGGTTACCTGGGGCTGTTAGGGAGGGAAATTGGGGAAATGTTGGTCAAAGATACAAAATTTCAGTTAGCTAGGAGGAATAAGTTCAAGAGATCCACTCTACAGCATGGTGACAATAGGCAATAACAATGTATGATATTCTTGAAAAGTTGTCAGGAGAATAGATATCAAGTGTTCTCACCACAAAAATAATAATTATGTGAGGTAATACATATGCTAATTAGCTCAATTTTGCCATTTCATGATGTATACATATTTCAAAACAACATATTATATATAATTTTTTGTCAATTAAAAATAAAACATTTTGACTCTACCACTTATGATTTTAAAATTATACTACACTGCTTTACGTAAATCCAGGATTTTAAACAAATAAGACATTTAAACAGCCTGAATATAGGAACTACCTTTAGGTGCAGGTAAGGAGTGAACTAGAGAGTAAAGGACATTAGGGAAGACCAACTGAGATAACAGGAACCAACTAAGATGGTGAGATGGCTGATATCTGCATATTCTGACCAAACTGACAGTCTACTCCAGATTACATTCTAACATGATTTTGACATGGTTTCCATTTCCTTAAATGACTGCTGTCTGCAGCTTCTTAAATCCATGTGGTAGCCATCCTGGAGAAGAATGCCTGAAATGAAACAGCTGCAAGGGTTCAGATGCCCCTGTCAATCTCATTTGTCATTTTCCATCAAAGCCATCTTAGTCCGACAGGCAGTTCTGTGGTATTCTTAGTTCAGGTCTACTTAGTTGACTGAATCACTATGACCTTTCTTTTTATGGCAATCTATTCGAACTGCTTCACTTGCCAGGGACCTCCCATTCACACTGTTGTTCTCCTCCCTCTTATCTCAAATATTGCCTTAGGAGAGATATTTTCTAATATCTAATACATTTCTAATAAATGTAGTTTTCTTCTCTTACTTTTTAAAAAAATGAACTATAAAAATATATATCACCAGTAGTAGCTCCTGATGGCAAGCTATGTTCAAAGCTCATTTAGAGAAAAATTTGAAAGGTCGATGCCTGGTACAAGTTAGAATTATGTTATATTGCTTGTGAATACATAGCTCCAGCATAAGAAGCTTAGAAACTCCCTTTACTTGGTGTTTTCTACCATTTCTGATTTAGTTTTTTTTTTTTTTTTTTTTACTGCATACCACAGGAAGCTACAATTGCAGCAATTTCCAGGGTCAGATGGGGAGAGAAGTCCTGGATGAAACTTAGACAGAACCACACACTTCCCTTCCCCAAACCCCCCAAGATGTGGCCCCTGGAAAAGGCCTTTCATAAAAAGGGCCTATCAGTTAAATGTCTCCTTTGTGGGCAGATCTGGCTCCAGCTAAGTCTAAAGGTGTATATAGAGAGTGGAAGTTTTTACAGCAATTGCTCAAAATTGTGTTTTAATTTCCATACACACATTTGGAATCTTGCGTTATTTTTAGTTTTTGCCATCACTGTTCAAACAAAGCAGCAGGTTAAAGCTTTTTTTTCTTTCCTAAATCATATGAAAACCACATATAACAAAAGTCCAATGCTATTTTAGACCAAGTAAATACAGACAAGTAGACCTTAGACCTCCTCTTGCCTTTTGGCTCTGCTTCAGTTTGAAGTAACAGAAGCTTTTCCGGAAAAAAGGAAAGAAAATTATAATTCTTAAAATGAGTCTAAATTTAGGAGACCTAACAAGTAATATTCCTGCATAGAGTTGTTTTAAATTCCATGTGGAACAACCTATAAAATACAAGACATTAGGTACCATGTCCTTTTGAATTTTTTTATTTTTAGGACAGTACATGTGGATGCATATTCTGACAGCATGTTTTGAAATAATAACCATGGAGATTAATTCAGTCCTTTATTAACATAATCAGCAAATATTAAATGCGTACCATGTACAAAGGCTTAGGTTGGCTTGGGAGAGAAACAGTGTCTTAGTCTAGAGCTGGCCCTCAATGAGTCACAGTCTAGAAGGGAGGTCAAACTATAAACAAATCATAACAACACAATGTGGAAGGTGTTAATGAATGTATGTATAAAGTGCCATGAGAACACTGAAGAATGAGCAAGTAACTGTGCAGGGGAGTCAAGAGAAAGCAATTAAGAAATTCTGACTGGGCGCAGTGGCTCACTCCTGTAATCCCAGCACTTTGGGAGGCCAAGGCGGGCAGATCACGAGGTCACGAGATCGAGACCATCCTGGCCAACATGGTGAAACCCCATCTCTACTAAAAATACAATAATTAGCCGGGCATGGTAGCGCACACCTGTAGTCCCAGGTACTTGGGAGGCTGAGGCAGGGGAATTGCTTGAACCTGGGAGGTGGAGGTTGCAGTGAGCTGAAATCACGTCACTGTACTCCAGCCTGGCCACAGAGCAAGTCTCTGTCTCCAAAAAAAAAAAAAAAAAGAAAGAAAGAAAAGAAAAGAAAAAGAAAAAAATAAAAGAAATTATTTACCAAAGAGATAGTATTTTAGCTGAGTTATCAAAGTGGGTCTAAGTATCCAATATGGTAAAAAAGCATAGGACTAAAGAGAACAAAACATACGTTACATTCAGACAACCAGAAGCGGTTTGTGTTAAATTTTAGGATGAATTTTAAAAGTAGGAAAGAACCAAAGTTTCTTATTGGCAGCTGAGGGATTTGAGCTTATTTTGGAAGAAATGAGGAGACTGAAAAACTTTATTAAGTAATAATTGTGCGACCTATTAGCAAGTGCAGCAGTATAGATGGGAAGACAGAAAGACCTGTAGGAATGGAGAAAAGGGCACAACACCAGGAACTATCCCTGAGAAAGAATCAAAAGGCTTTGGCACCTGATTAGTTGAGGGCGCTGAGGGAGACAATTGAATCAGAGATCATTTAAATAACCTCACAGGAGGCTTTTAGTTGCAAGTAATGGAACTCCAAGCTCAAAATGGCCAAAATAATAGGAGTCTCATACAAACAAATTGTACAAGGTTAGAAGAGTCACAGGAAGGGTTTCATCAGGGCAGCTCTGCTTCTCTGCAACTTCCTTGAACTGCTTTCTTCCAAACAGTAGGTTTTCTACTAGGCCGGCCCTCCTCATAGCAAGAACATACTGCTAGACTTAGCTGGGCCACATGCTTTCTGGTTAACACAAAGGAGAGAGAGATAGCATCTGTGAGCTTTGTCATGATAGGACTGGAAAAGGTCTTTTGCTCACCCTGAATCAATATTTGTGGGAGTGAGAATGTCATCTGCTAATTGGCTTAGCCCAAAGTTTCCACATGTAATCATTATGGCAAGATATAGATTTATCCTAATTAATTTAGACTTACCATGTCCCACCTCCTCAGCTGAGAACCAGATGCATTCCATTGAAAACCTGTCTGCTACACAACCGAACCAAAGGTAGGATATATGTGTGGGAGACACTGCAATGTCTACCAACAGGCTGAGCAAAATCAATGTTTATACATATTACTTTGTAAGCAAATGGTCAAGACTGATTTCTACAAGCGTATTTCCAAGTTGAAAAATGAACTGCCTTATTACCTTTCGTTCCCTGCAAAATGACAATATTCTGTAACTGATAGGCTTCTCCCTGATATAAGAAAAGACAGGTATTTAGATTTCTAATATTATCTTTCTTAGAAAGATAATATCTTGGAATATCAGCTAGGGAGTTCTAAAATTTGGGTAAAGTCTGCATTTCTCCTTATTATTTTTATTTAGGAACAAATCAGTTAACAATTCTCATTTTTAAACAATGCCCTAATATATGCTCCCAGTACAGTGACCAAGAAAACTTTTCTACCTATTTTACATTATTTCCTGTAAGTTTTCAACTAACTTGCATGCTTCTATTGGAATTATACTTATCCAGAATATGTACCATGAATCTTCTATTACAAAAAATACATTAATATGTTTAAAATTCTAACATAAAATTGACATAAGTGTGAATTTTCTATCATTCAGTATAAGTAAAAATGCAGAGATTAGCTGTTGTGTTTATTTTTTAAGTTGGCTGCATGCCAATTTATCAGTAAGGTATCATTAACTAAAATTCACCTGATTACCAAGACTCAAAAATTAGTTTGTTTGGTACTTTGTAAACTGGTGTTCAGAGGATTCAATAGGGAAATATATGTAGGGTCAGCCAGAGGGGTCAAATCCTGGCTCTGTCACTTATTAACCATATGATCTTAAGTATGTCAAGTATGTTATTTATATCTCTGGGTATCAGTTTCATCACCTGTAAAATGGAGTCTCATGACTTATGAGATAATAATAAAGATTATACATAATAAAATGTGTAATGAGCCTGCCCCACAAAGTGCTTGTGTTCTGCATTTACTGCTTGACTACTATACAACAAACTCAAGTATATTTGAAAAATAGGACACAACGTAAAAGTTCAGTAAACACCCTTATACGTTTTACAACATATGAATGGTAAGGTTTTTAAAAACATCTTCTATGGTTTTTTTTAAAGGTACAGGAAATGTTTAAAAGCTAGATAAATTATTGCTCTACTTAAGAGAGCTAATTGCAGAAAAAGAACACATTCATTGATTTTTTTTAATCCAAAATATTTGAGTACTTAACATGTGTTAGGCACTGCACTAGGCCCTGGGATACAATAATGAATAAGACAAACTCCCTGAAGCTTACAATCTTGGCACAACCAACAAACAACTAAACAAATAATTAATTATGTATCATCAAATAGTGTTAAGTATAATGAAGAAGAATGAGATAGAGGGAAAACCTAGAAAGTGACCTGGCAAGAAGGGGAGTTAGCAGGCAGGGTTTCAGATTGAATAATGACAGAAGGCTTCTTGCTAACTCTACATTAATGTCTACCACATAGGTTTTCTTTCAGTCTAACCAACAGAAATAACAGCTAAGCTCTCCTAGCTACAATTTTTATGAATGAAGTCTTAAAAAAATTCTGGCTTGATTTTCAAAATCAGTTTAACTTTACTGTTTGTTGGTTAATATGAAGAAATTATGAATTGGTTTAAAATTAAGGTAGATTGTCTCAGCAGTTGAAAGCATATGCCAACTTTTCAGAATATTAAGTTTTTAACCCAGTAAAGTAGCAAAAGATTTACTTTGTAAAGTTTAATATTTCCTTTGCTATCTGAGGACTACACATTTTTGGATTGTGTAAAGGGTACAATGCAGGCAGTTATTTTATTTTATTTATTTTATTTTATTTTATTTTATTTTATTTTATTTTACTTTACTTTACTTTACTTTACTTTACTTTACTTTACTTTACTTTACTTTACTTTAAAGTTTTAGGGTACCTGTGCACAATGTGCAGGTTAGTTACATATGTATACATGTGCCATGCTGGTGTGCTGCACCCATTAACTCGTCATTTAGCATTAGGTATATCTCCTAATGCTATCCCTCCCCCCTCCCCCCACCCCACAACAGTCCCCAGAGTGTGATGTTCCCCTTCCTGTGTCCATGTGTTCTCATTGTTCAATTCCCACCTAGGAGTGAGAACATGTGGTGTTTGGTTTTTTGTCCTTGCGACAGTTTACTGAGAATGATGATTTCCAATTTCATCCATGTCCCTACAAAGGACATGAACTCATCATTTTTTATGGCTGCATAGTATTCCATGGTGTATATGTGCCACATTTTCTTAATCCAGTCTATCATTGTTGGACATTTGGGTTGGTTCCAAGTCTTTGCTATTGTGAATAGTGCCGCAATAAACATGCTTGTGCATGTGTCTTTATAGCAGCATGATTTATAGTCCTTTGGGTATATACCCAGTAATGGGATGGCTGGGTCAAATGGTATTTCTAGTTCTAGATCCCTGAGGAATCGCCACACTGACTTCCACAATGGTTGAACTAGTTTACAGTCCCACCAACAGTGTAAAAGTGTTCCTATTTCTCCACATCCTCTCCAGCACCTGTTGTTTCCTGACTTTTTAATAATTGCCATTCTAACTGGTGTGAGATGGTATCTCATTGTGGTTTTGATTTGCATTTCTCTGATGGCCAGTGATGGTGAGCATTTTTTCATGTGTTTTTTGGCTGCATAAATGTCTTCTTTTGAGAAGTGTCTGTTCATGTCCTTTGCCCACTTTTTGATGGGGTTGTTTATTTTTTTCTTGTAAATTTGTTTGAGTTCATTGTAGATTCTGGATATTAGCCATTTGTCAGATGAGTAGGTTGCAAAAATTTTCTCCCATTTTGTAGGTTGCCTGTTCACTCTGATGGTTGGAAAAAACTACTTTAAAGTTCATATGGAACCAAAAAAGAGCCCGCACTGCCAAGTCAATCCTAAGCCAAAAGAACAAAGCTGGAGGCATCACGCTACCTGACTTCAAACTATACTACAAGGCTACAGTAACCAAAACAGCATGGTACTGGTACCAAAACAGAGATATAGATCAATGGAACAGAACAGAGCCCTCAGAAATAACGCCGCATATCTACAACTATCTGATCTTTGACAAACCTGAGAAAAACAAGCAATGGGGAAAGGATTCCCTATTTAATAAATGGTGCTGGGAAAACTGGCTAGCCATATGTAGAAAGCTGAAACTGGATTCCTTCCTTACACGTTATACAAAAATTAATTCAAGGTGGATTAAAGACTTAAACGTTAGACCTCAAACCGTAAAAACCCTAGAAGAAAACCTAGGCATTACCATTCAGGACATAGGCATGGGCAAGGACTTCATGTCTAAAACACTAAAAGCAATGGCAACAAAAGCCAAAATTGACAAATGGGATCTAATTAAACTAAAAAGCTTCTGCACAGCAAAATGGTACAATGCAGTTTTAAAGTGTGATTTAATTTACTTTGGAATTTAACGGCAGCTGATTTGTTTTTATTATGATCCTTTTAAACGCCTTCTCAATCAAGCAACACAATTTGTTACAGAGGACTGTCTTTGAGCTTAGCTGGACGTAACCATTAAAATGAAAAGACTGTTTCACCATGCATTGTGTATTGTATTGCATTGAAAGTGTGTTGATTATAAAACTCATCAAAATGTTATCAATGTTTAATAAATATATGAGAAATAACCTGATCAATTATAACAGTATCTACAGATGGGTGCAGACTGATATTTTATTATCAGCTGAACATAATAAAACTTTAAAAATTATCTCTAAGGATCCCTTCAAATTGTTTTTAAAGGAGTTTTATGTTCAAATACTGATTTCTATAAATTGAGGAGAAATATATACATGCATATTACACATAAATGTGTATACATAACGCATGTGTGTAATTGAGTCATATTTCAATCCTGCTTTTTCCTAAAATCTTGTCTCCACTGCACCAAAATCTACATAGATATAGATTAAAATACCAGATATTGGTTAGAGAAAACAGAAATGTTCAAGTTTTCTAGTGTTCCTGAGCTTTACTGGTCTAGCACCTACCTTGTTAAACTCACCTGCAAAATATCTTGACTTATGCAAAACTACAGGAGTTTCAATCCCTGGTGCATTTTCAGGATGCCCTCAAATGATACCATGGTCTAAACATCAATATGTAAAGATGAAGTGGCTGCTGGGACAGGAGCCTAAAGAGTATTTGATCCAAAATCTTCTGCGACGTTTGATATTTCTTGACCACACCTTTCTTCTGGATTGTTTCCCTTCTCTTTGGTTTCCATGACACCATTCTTGTGTACTCTTATAATTTGCTTCCCAATTTCTGGGATGCTTTTGTTTTGTCTCTTTAATTATCTCCCTTTCCTCACTGCAGAACTTAAGTGTTGCTGTTCCACAGGCTCCTGCACAACACACTTTGCTCTTCATTAACACCTATCTACCAACAATTACATATTAAGAACTGTTTCAGGCAAGGCACAGGAGAGGATGGGAAGAAAGGTTAAGCATAGACTCTGCTCCAGATAAGCTTGTAATATCATCAGCCAAATAGATAAGTTTGTAATATGGTCAGCCAAATAGATACTCAAGTTCATCTTAGGTCCTTACTGTATCAGAATGTTTAAATTTATTTAACCACCAGAGTGATATAAATATACCATACCTGAGAACAGAACTTCGTAGTATAATTTTGTTCTTAGGAACAAATATAATGAAACCATATTATTAATTTCCTTATTATTCCACAGATTCAGTTATGTATGCCCCCTACGATATCTAGAGAATTTTTTTTTACTCAATCATGAAAATCCCCTAAGGTAGGTTAAAATTACATTCTAGGGAAAAGAGCTTGGGGTTTTGGATTTAGACACCCTCAGACATCATAAATAGCATATTTTTAACTAATGAAGTGAATGAATGAGTTTGGCTATATATATAATATATATAATATAACATATATATATATTACAAACACAATTTTCGTCATACACACCAATAAGCACACACACTGAGCATAAAGAAATATAATTAAATTCTACATTTCAAAATTTAAAATGCATGTCCATGTTCTAATTGATGATATTCTGATTCTACTTATGTAGAACCCATACCCCAGTGTACCAAATAAAAAAAATTCTTAAAAGTCTTTAAATCTGAAAATGAAAATCCTGTGATTTCTAATTATGAACTATTTTATCTTTAAATTTATATATTATTTTTCTTTAGTGATATTTTTGTTTTGTAATTCTTAAATGGAAACAAACCATGGATGAATGACTTTTAAATAATTATTTTTAATTGAAAATATCTGAGTACAGATGACTATATTTTCATTAGTAAACACAAATATGCAATTTTTTTCATTAATATTCAGTTATTCCTACAGTTAGTGTCCTCTAGAAAGAAACAAGAAAGCCTCTGAATGTTATAATCCTTCAGAATCTCAAAAACACAGTAATGTAAGGTAATTACACATACTCTATTTTTGCTCTTTATTAATTTTCAGGTGAAATGAGGCAAGATCAGAGCTCTTATTCAAAATATAAGGTTTAAGCCAGGCGCAGTGGCTTATGCCTATAATCCCAGCACTTTGGGAGGCCAAGGCAGGTGGATCGCCTGAGCTCAGGAGTTCAAGACCAGCCTGGGCAATATAGCAAAACCCTGTCTCTACTAAAAATACAAAAATTAGCCAGGCATGGCAGCATGCACCTGTAGTCCAGCTACTCAGGTGGCTGAGGTGGGAGGATCACCTGAGCTGGAGAAATTGAGGCTGCAGTGAGTTGTGACTGCACCACAGCACTCCAGCCTAAGCAACAGGGTGAGAACCTGTCTCAAAACAAAACAAAACAAACGAAAACAAAATAGAGGGCTTATCGAAGTAAAGCTTCTCTAATGAATTAAAAAGATATAAAATATTATTTTCTTTTCCATACTTTTTAGCTGAATGAGACCAAATTAAAAAAAATTCAAAATTCAGCCCAAGAAAATGTACCAACAAACAAAAGATCTACATAGAATCTCCATTAACAAATTCAGGAAATATTTATTAAGATCCAGCTATGTGCTGGGTACAGTTCCAGGCACTTGGAAAAATTAAGGAGGACATCTGTGTTCTTCACAGAACACAGATTATAAATGATAACAGTAAATATATCATATTAAATAAAAGAACAAGTAGAAGGGAACAAGTGGGTTCTTAAAGCAGGGGAGGGTAGCAATTTAAAGAAGATAGGCCAGGCATCATTAAAAATGTGGCATTTCAGCAAAGATTTGAAGCAAGCAAGGGGGTTCACCATATCAATACCTGGACCTATAAATGGAGTATTTCAAGCAGGGGAAGAGCCAATACAAAGGTCCTGAGGCAGAATATGCTGAATGCATTCTAGGGAAAGGAGGGAACAGGGGATGGCACAGAGTAAGGAATGGAATACAAGCAGGAATGAGGTCAGCAGGTCAGAAGGCACTGGGGTGTGTGCAGAGATCACACAGGGCATTTTAAGCCATTTGTCTGCACTTTGGCCTTTACTATAAGTGAAATGAGGAATCCTACTTTTTGAGCAGGGGTGAGGCATGACATTGTCTGACATGCTGTGAAGCATTGCTCTGACTTCAGGGAGCCAGTTATTCCACAGTGAGCTTACAAAACAGGCATCAGCACCAACATCCCAACAAATCCAAGTACCCATAGAATCATAAACCACACACTCCAGAAACACCTGGTATCACTCTTCTCCATTCTTATTGTTTCATTCTTCTAAGAAAATTGTGCTGAGCCAAGCAAACAGGTTAACGATGGACTGTGAACACTACAAGAGATTTTTACAGATTATCCCATTTCATTTTTCTTCTTTTTAATGTTAAAACTATTTCATTGCTTTTAAAATTATAAAATTACATGTGCTTATTGAAATTTTTCACAATATGTGGAGTAAAAAGCACAAAACCACCAAGGTCTTCTAAAAAGTAACCACTAATTAGCATTTTGTTTTGTTGTGTATCCTTCAAGACTTTTTAATGCATTTGTATATCTTTATTTCTTCATTGTCTTTAATTTTATTGTCATCACCTATGCTGATATCTCTATCAGCTTCTCCATTCATCATAGATGGCAAAACAGAAGACCTGAGAATTCAGCCCTGAGAATTTGCCCAGAGGCACACAGCTGGCCAGAAAAGAATGAAGTCTAGACCTGAGGTATCTAGAACAAGCTCCTACAAGTCTTCCCCACACCATAGATTTCTCACCACAATTCTGGATGGTCAAAATTTATTGTCATCCTCTACAAAAACACATACATTTCTGTAGAAATTACTATGACCTATTAAAGTTAGTTATTATGTGTTGAAGGAGAATTTTGACTGGTACTAAAGGAGAAAGAAAAACCTTCAATTATTGGGCACTGCATTAGAATAGGCAGGATAATGTGTAGGTTCTGGTGTTGTGGAATTAGAGTAAGAGGGCAGGATTAGAGCAGAAGTTGAGAGAATGTAAAGATGAAATCTGCCAACCTTGAAATTTTACACAACGCCACATCAGAGGCTAGAGGAGGGAATGCTCTTTGTCTTCCTTCTGCATTACATGATTCTGTGCTCCTCAAACCCACAAATCCATACAGTAGTGTTAGTACTATGACCAAGTATATTTCAGATTCAGAGGCAGTGTAGTGTGGTATAAAACACTCAGGTTTGAATCCTGGGGAGACGTAGGTACAGATCTCACCTCGTTGGCTTCCTTATTTATAATCCAGAGTAATTATGCCAATCTGACAGGTTTGTTATGAATCCCAAATAACATTATATACTGTCTACACACACACATACACACACACACACACACACACACACCACTGCTTGCAAAATAAATATTTATTAAATTCTAGATGCCATTTTACCCAACAAGAGTTTATAACACTGTATTTTATTCCTATTTCCAAATAATATACAGACATATGGGCTTTTGGAACATCTAAGATGGTTATTTTCCCAAATTTTAGACCAGAAATTGAAGGTGAAAATATCTCTTCAGAAATAATATTTTCAGTGAAACATTTTTTCCTCCATTTCACTTTATATTTGAAGATAATCTAAATTATTATTACATTGCTAGTTGCCTTTGCTCTTACTTAAATACATTTTTTTCAAGGTTTCACATGAGAGAATTTCCAAGCTCTATCTATCCATCTATCTATCTATCTATCATCTATCTATCTATCTAATATATAATGTTGATAATAAAATCATTACTTGTGGCTTTAGATATACCACCTTTGGTTGTGTTGTATTAAACACAGGATCAATATCAAGACCCCATCATACAATTACACTCAATCTGGATTTCACAAGGTCACTATTGACACATTAGACCAGATAAATCTTTGTTGCGGAGGGCTATCTTGTGCATTGTAGACCACTTAGCAGCATCCCTGGTCTTTCCCACTAGATGCCAGTAGCACACACACACACTCATAACAATTCAACTCAGTCATGACAATTAAAAATGTCTCCAGACATTGCCATATGTCTCCTGAGGGCAAAGTCACTCTAGGTTGAGAACCACTGTACTACAGGTAGCATTGTAAAAAGACTAAATACCAAAACTAGTTTTACGCAAAATCTGTATTGGGAAAACAACAGAAACACCCTTATAAACATTGGAAGTGTAGCATCTTAAAAAAAAAATCATTTCTTCCTCCTCAATGCAGACACAGTGCCACATCAGAAGTTAAAACAAAACATCCTGATTAGATTAGCACCAACTTCACTGGTTGCCAGAATTGACTCCCTAACAGGGTGGAGCATGAAAAGAAAGCTACTTGTCTCTTCAGGCGCAGACTGCCTGCAATAGCCTTTATTTGGGCAGTAGCCTGAAGAAACCCAACCTTTATTGGAACCATGACTGGTGCAAGTTTATTGTTTTTCTTTGTGGAATCTCAAAGGATACAATGTTTATTGTTCATTTCCTCTACAGTGTCTGTCTATCCAGCCTAAGTAATGCAGGGTCCAAACTTGGGTTTGGCAACCTTTAGCCTCCAAACTAAATCCCATAAGGATAGTACTGGTGAATGCCAGGTCTGGCTTAAAATTTAAGTATCCCCTTGGCCGAGACTCATAACATACATGGTTTGACCAGATGTTCGGAGTTATTCCCAAAAACTCAATCCTTCTCTAGACTAGAGGAAAAACAAACCCACAACATTCTTATTCTTCCTTATGTTCTTGAAGTTCCTGCCTTCAAACATGTTGGCATGCTATCAAGAACGGTAGTGCTGTGGCAGGATTAGGGATGGTTAATGGGTACAAAAATATAGCTAGATAGAATGAATAAAATCTAGTATTTGATAGTACAACAGGATGACTACAGCCAACAATAATTTATTGTGAATTTAAAAATAACTAAGAGTATAATTAGATTGTAACACAAAGAAAGCATAAATCCTTAGTAATAGATAGCCCATCTGCCCTGATGTGATTATTACACATTGTATACTTGTATCAAAATAGCTCATGTATCTCATAAATACATATGTCTACTATGTACCCACAACAATTTAAATTTTAAAATAAAAAAAAGAATCGTACTTTGGACCTTTACAACTTTCATGCTGCCCAAAGGTAATGACTGTGTCATGCAACAAGTGCTCTAGAAGAATATGGTGGCTTGACTCTTGTCCCAAGTCAATACTATACATCAGTGTCCCACTAGAATATGTTATCTCCACTTTCAGATTTTTCTGAGATAATATTTGATTAAAATTCAGAGGCTGCTCACATCACAGCTTTTACCGGTATTTCTACATGCTGAATAAGCTGGTCAAATTTCTGCTCGTTGCACAGCATCCACACGAGTCTCATACAGCATCTACATTACTCCATGAAGCCTAAGTATCAGTAGTAAACAAGTGAAAACAAGATCATCTAAGCTTCACTGTCTCTGATATCCTTGAGCCTTTCTTTTAAGTTATACAGCCCTTCTAGCTTTTTCTTAACTCTAAAATTGGTCTATTCTCATAATGGAATGAGAAGGTCAGGTCACAAACGTGCTATGTTTGTGCCATGGCTGCAAAACCACCCTACTGACCAAGCTGGGGAATGTGAGTCCCTAGTGCCATCCCATGTGTCTGGCTCCAGGCCTCAAAATACCATTAGCAAGAAGCATCCAGTTGGCCACTATATCTCTCAGACATGCTCATAAACACACACCTATATATACCCACATATCACATTTCTCTGCCCAATGAGGTAAGGATGCCTTTTTTTGCCTTAAGTTTCTAGTAATAACCTAAACTATGATAGGCTAAAATGTCATCCGGCTCATGGTCATACCCACAAGTGCTTTCTTAAGAGGTTTTCTGACACCATGGCTTCCAATTTCACTATTTTTAAATCATTTTGCAGAGTAAAACCCCCATACTTCTAGTATTAAAAGCAAGTGTGAAGATAATACAGAAACACACTCTGCCCATGAGCAAGAAGGCAGTGTCAAAATGTCATCTGTGCTGGTATATATAATTTTTAATTCTCTGGGAAAAAAATTGTTTCTCTTCATCTGTTAAAAATTTAAAGTGAATTGAAAACTCCCTGGGAATGCAACCTCTGTATGATTGACAGTGACAAGCACACATACCTTGAAAGCTCCACTGTAATGTTTATGCTTAATAAAAACAAATACTGTGGCATCTGAGAGTAGCCTAGTCAGCCATGCAGCTCTCTACCTGGCGTCTTGTAAATTAATCTGGGTGTTTATGCTGTAGATCATTCATGATGAACACATTGCTATAGCAACATGCTTTTCTTCCATTTTTTCCTGTTAATTACACTAACATCACTATCAGCTACTAAATCTTTGAATTACTAATGAATGTATGTGAAAAGCAATGTCTTGATAACACATTTTCAATATGTCCTTATCCTCAAAGAAAAGATGCATGTAATTTGATTACTTTTAATTTATTGTTAAAATTTGTCAATACAATGTTAATCCATACTGAAATTTGAACATGCTGAAGGATACAAGAGGTGTCTCTATAGAACGTATGTCTCAAGAAGACAGAACGTGGTGAACCGGTAGAATTCTTCCTCTGATCCCACACCATGTTCATTTGTATATATGTTAAATTAGCATTTGGCAACCAGGAAATATTATTTAAACCTATGAGATGCTCAGGCTCTTAAGTTTCTGTGGTTCGGCACTAAATATTAAATTCTATTTAGATTAAGCTTTTTGGTAGAGCATCTAATGAAAGAGTACAGAATTTTTAGTTGATATGCAGTATGTAGGTAAGACACTCTTAGAAAATTCATGTTCATCAACACTGTAAAATGAAGAAAGACCTATCTCAAGTAATTCTCCAAATCACTGCATCTTGGAAAGTTCCCCTTTAGTATTGTTTCAGTTGCACATTGATGTTTTGGGAAAAGTCTCTATTCTTTCATGTCAACATCTTTCTATTTAGGTCATCAAAGGAGATATTTCCCAGTCATCTACTGATGTAAATTATTAGTGCTTACTCCAAATACATCTAAACACACCCACATTATTTAGGCCAAAAGGCATGGCTCAAATCATTAGTAAAGCTGGACATTTCTCAGAAGATCCAAATAATATTTCTATTCTCTAGAAAAAAATAGAAAACAGAGAAAATATCTCTATCTCTATTCTTTGAAAATAGATATTTTCACCCACTCAACACATACTTGAATGTCAGGGAAAGGCAAATGAAGAGCAAAGGTGGTGTGAAAGACAGCTGGAGTCTTTTAGCTAAATAAACTAGTTCAATAAAATGTGATCATTTAGTGGCTGTTTTAGCCAGATTGCCCCTACACAATTTCCTCTTCCAGGTTTTGCTATCTATTCTAAGCTAACCAGAAGTGAAATGATAACCATCAAGAATGTGAGAAAAGAATCGATCCTCTGGAGCTTTACCATGCTGCCCAATATCTTAATTTTAATTTTCTTTTTCCTAAGCTTGAGAATTTTGGGGTATTATTGTACATCTTTTCTTTGTAAAAATTATGATTATATAAGACTATTTCTAATGTTCACGTGTAGGCATGAGAAGAAAATATGAGGTTAAATAAGAAAATGAGGATCTATAATGATGATAATAATAGCAATGGCTAGCATTTTTAAAAGTAAAACTCCATGAGAAGTGCTTTACCCACATTACCGTATCTGTAAAATAAACATGGGATGTAGGTATTCTTACCTTCATCAGTTGATGAAGAAAAGCAGCCAGAGAGGCTATATAATTGCAGGTTATCACACAGATCATAAATTGTACATGTGAGATTCAAACCCAGGTCTTTCTTTTGTCGAAAACCCAAGCTAAAGGACAATAGATAGGCAAAGACATATCTAAAGGAGGTTTTCTATCCACTAACTGCTAGGGAAGAACTGTAAAATAAGACAGACGCGAAGTTCATTTTAGCAAATGTCAAATAAAAGCTGAAATATACCTCTGGATGTGTCTACTTAACTGTTCATGTCTGGATGCTCTGTACCCAGTTTCTCCTATCATTATCTTACACTGGTATGGTTCATTTCTTAACAATTAATAAACTAATATTTATACATCATCATTAACTAAAGCCTCTATTTTATTCCTATTTACTTAGTTGTTGCCTAATGCCATTTTTTCCGCTCCAAGATTCCATCTTGGATACCCCATGACACACTGTCATCACGTCTCCTCAGGCTCCTCTTGGCTCTAACAGACTTTCCTCGTTTTCTATGACTTCGAAAGTTTTGAAGATTATTTGCTAAATATTTTATAGAGTGCCCCATAATGAAATTTTTCTGGTGTTTTTCCTCAATTAGATTGAGATTATGGACTTTTTTTTTTTTTTTTTTTTTTTTGAGACGGAGTCTCGCTCTGTCGCCCAGGCTGGAGTGCAGTGGTGCGATCTTGGCTCACTGCAAGCTCCGCCTCCCGGGTTCACGCCATTCTCCTGCCTCAGCCTCCGGAGTAGCTGGGACTACAGGCGCCCGCCATCATGCCCGGCTAATTTTTTTTTTTTTTTTTTTTTTTTTTTTTTTTTTTTTTAGTAGAGACAGGGTTTCACCGTGTTAGCCAGGATGGTCTCGATTTCCTTACCTCGTGATCCGCCCGCCTCGGCCTCCCAAAGTGCTGGGATTACAGGCGTGAGCCACCGTGCCCGGCCTAGGTTATGGACTTTTGAGAGATCACAGACGTGATGCTATTCTCACCATGTCATATCAAGGGTACATGCTTTTAACATGACTTATCACAGTTGATGCTAACTGTCATCTCCAGGCTGAGTTGATATTTGTCAAGTTCCTTCCCTATAAAATTATTTTCCCCTTTTCCATACTGCGAAAGAAATTAATACGCACAACCCACACACAAAGAGCAGAGAGTTATGATCCACTTTCTTGAAGGCAGAGTATCTACAAAAACTATTTGGGATTCTTCTGCAAGGGACATTTGTCTCCTCTCCCCATTTATTTAATCATATATTTATATCAGTATGGATTCACGGACATTTATTTTATATTTTTGTTATTGTTGCTCAAAGTTTTCCAGCTTTGACCACTGTGATCCTTTTCAGTTGGCTCCTGTGTCTCTTTGATGCATGTCATCTATGTGTGTGTATGTACATATGTGTGTTTGGAGGTGGGGACTAG
Source organism: Homo sapiens (assembly GCF_000001405.40). Classification (NCBI taxonomy): domain Eukaryota; kingdom Metazoa; phylum Chordata; class Mammalia; order Primates; family Hominidae; genus Homo; species Homo sapiens. The sequence goes on along the minus strand of NC_000005.10, from coordinate 89,175,277 downwards.
TGTTCAACATTTCCTTACTTTCTGACACTATGAGGTGCTATAGTCTCCTCTTAAATAATTTTTGCCAGTCTTACTATCCTTTTTAATTTGACAATTATTTGCTAAGTTCTAGCCAGTATGTTGAGATGACTAAGATTTGCTTTAGCTGGGCGCAGTGGCTCACACTTGTAATCCCAGTACTTTGGAAGGCCAAGGCGGGCAGATCTCTTGAGGTCAGGAGTTTGAGACTGGCCTGGCCGACATGGCAAAACCCTGTCTCTACTAAAAATATAAAAATTAGCCAGGCATGGTGGTGCACACCTGTAATTCCAACTACTTGGAAGGCTGAGATTTGCTTGAACCCAGGAGGCAGTGGTTGCAGTGAGCCAACATCATACGATTGCACTCCAGCCTGGGTGACAGAGTGAGGCCCTGTCTCAAAAAAAAAAAAAAAAAAAAAAAAAAAAAAAAGACCTGCTTTCATATCTCAAAGGAATTTAAAATTTAAGTAGAAAAACAAACATGTAAACAAATCAGAGAAATAATCTTTAAGGTGGGAAATTGTAAACATGCAGTGAGTTTGAAATGTGTCAAGTTTCAAAATGCAATTTTGTAGAGAAAGTGCTTGTAAGTGCTCTTGTAGAAATTCACTGACAAAAGAGTGTTTTACCCAATTGTTGAGTAAGAGAAGTAAACCAGTTGGAGGCCAGAAGAGGAATTCCAGTATACGTGTCATAAGGGTCAGAATGGTACAGAGCAAATACTAAGAAACATCACCACACAACATAAGTATATTAAATAACAGTCAATAGTTTAACTTTATTCCCATAAGCGCAAATATCTCTACACAGGTGTGATTACACTACAATAAAGACTGCAGCCATCCTTACTGTTTTAGCCAGAATCTGTGTATTTAGAACTGGGTATAAAATAGGATGACTAATTTCACATTCCTGGTTATCCACTCTCTAATCGATGCTAGACTAAAGGCAGGTAGAAGGAGAAGTACTGAAAATTATTAAAAGCAGATCAAAGTATTAAGAATAATAATCTTATTGTAAGATTAATAATAATAATTGCTATTTATATAGGGCTTACTCTACATTAGACACTTCACATATATGATCTTGTTAATCCCTACACATAAATAGTATTACACCTTAGATGTCTGTAATTTTCTTCATAACACTTAGAACACAGAATTATAGTTTTCTCTGTCATTATCTTTTATGAGGCTATTAAATGTTGGAGCTCCTCCAGGTTCAATCCTCCAATCTCTTTTCTTCCAAATCTATACTCCTTCCTTAGGCAATCTCATCTAAACCCACCACCTAATCAGAGACGCATTAGATATATAAATTGCTAATACAGACTTTTCATCTGATCTCCAGACCTAAATATTTAAATACCTACTTGATAACTTTGGAGATATCAAAGTTGCTTCAAACTCAAAAATGAAAACACTTTCTTATAAAACATGCTCTTTTCTCAGTGGTCTCCAACTCAGTGAATGAGTACTGCCATATCTTACACTAGTATTCATTCCCTCCACAAGCCCTGTCAATCATACTTCTTCATATCTTCACATTTGCCTAATATATTTCTTCTCTCCATTTGCCTCACCACTAACAAGCCATGATCTCTTCATCTGGACCAGTGTTTCTTAGCCCTGACACTACTGACATTTTGGACCAGGTACTCCTTTATTGAAACGGGCTTGTATTAGCATTCTCTTAGAGAGACAGAACCAATAACTGTATGTAAAGGGGAGTTTATTAATTATTAACTTACACAATCACATGTTCCCACAAATGGCTGTCTGCAAGTTGAGGAGCAAGGAGAGCCAGTCCAAGTCCCAAAACTAAAGAACTTGGAGTTCAATGTTCAACAGCAGGAAACATCCAGCAAAAAGATGTAGGCTGGGAGGCTAGGCCCATCTTACTTTTCACATTTTTCTGCCTGCTTTATGTTAGCTGGAAGCTGATTAGATTGCACCCAATAGATTAAGGGTGGATCTGCCTTCCCCAGCCCACTGACTCAAATGTTAATCTCCTTTGGCTACACCCACACAGACACACCCAAGATTAATACTTCATATCCCTCAATCCAATCAAGTTGACACTCAGTATTAACCATCACAGGGCTGTTCTCTATATTGCAGGATGCTAAGTAGGGTCCCTGATCTCTACTCATCAGATGCCAGTAGCACTCCTCATCATTAGTGACCATTAAAAATGTGTCCAGACATTGCCATATGTCCCCTGTGGGATAAAATAACCCCCTGGGTGAGAACCACTACTACTGCAATAGCATCCTTATTGGTAGCCCACATCAATTCCTCTAATTTTTCTTCACAATGAAAGAAAGAATCTTTTTGAAATTCAAAACTGATCACATTGTCTCTCTGTTTAAAATCCTGAAAAGCTTCCGACTGCCCTTGTGGCAAAGGCCTAACTCCATAAAATGGTCCAGAAGGTGCTGTAGATTCTGGTCTTTCCCTGTCATTTCAGTCCATCACCCACAATACAGTGTGGGTTTTCTTTGCTCTAAGAAAGTGATTAGATCCTAATATTTGCAGTACTCCCTTCTGTCACCAAGCATTTTAACACATTGATACATTTCCAGAAATGTTCTTCTTTCCAGTATTCAATTCGTTGAATTTTATCCATTTTTTTAATCCAGCCCAAGCCGTCTTTCCTTGGGAAAGCCTTCTCCAACCTACCAGAGTAGACCAAATTTCCTCACTATAACTCTCATGGCATTATGCTTCTCTCTTTCCTCACAGTCTTTTCAACTGCAATTATACACTTATTTTTGAGATTATTTTAATTATCCTCCACATTGAACTGTAAGCTCAATGATGGCAACAACTGGGGAAGCTTTTGCTTACAATTTGAAATGGACATTTCTTGATTGTGCTTCCTTAGAATTAACATTCCTCCTTTTGGAAACTGTATCCCCATTATGCTTTGAGGAAACTTCTCCCCATTTCACAGTGTATGCAGTGGAGTTATCCCAGACTCCAGGGATGGGACATATGACCTGGGCTTAAGCTCATCTAGTCATTCCATTTTCCTGACCAGAAATGAGCATGGGATTCAATATGGGCTAATGAGAGAGAGTGAACACCAGGGCTTGTATGCACAATACCTTAACAGGCATTTTCTTTTTGAGTATTATTATGATGTAAACATGATGATGCCTTAGAAGAAAGAGCTTGGAAGGAAGACAATCCAGAGGAACAAGAGTGTAGGAATGGACCCTAAGGAGATAGTTTGAGCCCTGAATCAAGCTACACCTGAAACATACTATCCACAGAATATACTTTTTCCACCACATGAGCCAATATATGCCTCACAAGTTTAAGCCCATGTGAATTAGATTTGCTGTCACTAAAACCTGAAAGTTTTCTGATCTGTCACTGGTTTGCTGGTTTCTAGCACAGTGCCTAGCAAATACTTGGCATTCAGTAAATATTTGGAGAATGGGTATATTATCGTCATTAAGAAACTAAGCCTTAGGGAGGAGCTAAATTACTTTACAAAGGTTGCTAAACTAAAACATAGTAAAGCTGAAATTTTAGACTTAGATCTGTCTGATTCCTGAATGGTGAACGTTGCTGCTGAATGCTAACGGCTACTAAATTGTGTGAGGTAAATGCTCCCATACATCCAGTTCCCTAGATGCTAATACAGTGGCAAAGTTACAGGAGAACAGAAGCAAGAGTAGACCTAAGATACACCTACGCGGGGATAGGTGTCCTTCTACACAATCCCATTCTTGCCACTATAGCCACCTCTTCATGCCTCCCAGAAATACTGAGTTGTGAAGTACTGTATATGACCCCTCACCTAAGTCTAGTACTTCTTTGACCCTTCTCTCTCATCTTGGCCTTTTCCATTCAGATATTAGGTCTCCTCATCCCTACCTACTCTAACACTCTGAGGATGTGCTAAACAAGAACAGTCCCTCTTCCCTTTTGTCTACCACTTTAAACACCTTCTCCTGAATCTATGTAGGATCTTCAAACCTAACACCTAAAAGTTGTGTAATTTGTTGAAGTGTTTTTATTTTAAATTATTAAATATTATTAAATAAGACTATATATCATAAACCAGTGTATGCAAGGTGCACATAATAAAGCATGCATTTGTATACACACCACTCCTTTTGAAAATAGAACATACTAGGAGCTTTTAAACACAAACATTCCCCCCCTCTCCTACTCCCCAAAACTTCTCCCTCACCTAAATTTTGAGTTAAAATTCCTTCTTACTTTCTTATTCTTTTTTTTTTTTTCATTGTTGTTGTTATTTTGAGATAGAGTCTCATTCTGTTGCCAGGCTGGAGTGCAGTGGCACGATCTCAGCTCACTGCAACCTCCATCTCCCAGGTTCAAGGGTTTCTCCTGCCTCAGCCTCCTGAGTAGCTGGGATTACAGGCACACACTACCATATCCAGCTAATTTTTCATATTTTTAATAGAGACGGGGTTTCACCATGTTGGACAGGATGATCTTGATCTGCTGACCTCATGGTCTGCCTGCCTCGACCCCCCCAAAGTGCTAAGATTACAGGCGTGAGCCACGACGCCCAGCTTATTTTTTTTATTAAAATATTTATATATAAGTAGGGTGTTGAGTTTGGCATGGTTTTGAACTTTATAAAAATATTCTTTGCATATTGAATGTTTTCTTCTGTAACTCATGTTTTTTCTTCTCAACATGATGTTTGTGAGGTTTGTCCATATTGATAGAGGTCATTAATTTTCACTTTGGTATAACATTCCATTGTATGAATAGTTCATAATATATTTTTAAATTTTTTTAGTCACTCATCTCCAGTTTTTGCTGTATGGAACAATGGTATTATGAACATTATTGTGAAAAATTTTCTCTGGGATATATATCTATGTTAGAGATTCCGAGTCATAGAAGTGTGCATCTTCAACTTTGCTGGATAATACCTTTTTTTTTTCCAAAATTTGTTGACCCAATTTATATTTCTACTAGTAGGGTCTAAGAGCTTATTTTTGGACACCTTTACTTTTCAGTAGATAATATATGTATATATTATCTATATATATGTATATATTATCTGTATATATGTATCTATATATATGTATATAATATAGGTATATATTATCTACTGAAATATATCTACATATATTTCAGTATATATCTACTGAAATAGATATATTCTGTCTAGATATATGTATGTATCTAACACAATAATTGAGACAGAGCAGTAAACACTGAAGAGATGAATAAAAAAGATTCTTCTCACTTTAAGAATCCATGAGGATATCACTGAAGATGGCACATTGCAGCAACTGAGGTTCTAGAGATGGGCTCAAGTCAGAAAAGTAAAATTGCATACAGATAACCTTTTTTTTTTAAAGGCAAAAGCCTATATAATTCGTTTTAGAAAAAAATCAGAAATATTAAAGTGTAAATTTTCTGCTCTTCACCGTAAGTTGTTCAACAGGAAATTACGTTTAAATGAAGATTTCCAAAATGCTAGCTAAATGAGAATTTTATTTTATTAATTTAATAAAAATTGTGCTAATAAACAAACATATGTACACATAAATGTGACAGACACATGCTAAGTGATTTATGCTCTTATCAAATTCCCTTCCCTTGAGTGTGGGTGGAAACCATGACTTGCTTCTAGCCAAATAATATGGCGAAGGTGATGAGATTTCATTTCCATTACTTTGTTACATTATATAAGTCTCCATCTTAGCCGACTACAGGAAGAGACACTCTCTTCCTGACCTTAAAGAAGCAAACAGCCATGTTGTACAGAGGGTCATGTGACTAGGAACTTCCTGGTAGTCCAGGAGCTGAGAGCGTCAGTACTACAACCTCAAGGAACTGAATTCTGCCAACAACCAGTGAGTTAGGAAGAGGACTGCAAGCCTTAGATGGAATCACAGTCCTGGCCGACATGTTGATTGAAGCCGTGTGAGACCATAAGCAAAGGACCCAGTTAAGTCACACGCAGACTTCTGACTCAGCAGCAGTCAGATAATAAATGTGTGTTGTTTTAAGCCCCTAAGTTCATCATGCATCAACAGGAATTTCACACAATAAATTAGCCATCAAAGGAATTAATCATAAAGATCATCAAGGCAATTACCATTCATTTTTTGAGATCACTATTATTATTTCTCTTGCCACTTATACTGGCTCACGAAAATAAATCCTGATAATTTTGAAATGATGGGTTCATTAAGTATGTCTCTGCCCCAACAAGACACTTTCTCTGTCTGTGGTCATTTGGGTGCTGTGACACCTTCTTCTTACTAAGAAGAGAAGAGAGAAGTATCTAGAAAAGATTTGCATGTTGTGGTCAAAACATTGATTGTTACTTTTAAGACATGGAGTTCAGTAGAAACCACTGAAGTTAGATTGGATGGGGTAGTGAGTCTCAGCAGTTTTTCTGTGCAGGAGAAAGGAGCATCCAGACTCAGTTCACGGCTAGTAGGATTACTGTGCATCTCTCACAGGGCCGTGTGCTGCCCTCAGGATGAAAGGACATGAAGAAACTGATACGAGTGTGAATGGGTTTAAGGGAAATTATTTGAGAACAAATAATTCAAGACAGTAGTTCATTATTTTTATTACTTAACTCTGAATTTATTATATGTAAGCAATTTATCCAAAGAAAGTTTACAAGGATGAGTACTTCTTGGTCCATCTATTGGTCTTGGCAGAGAAAAATTCTGGCTTAATTACTAGGATAAGATTTAGAAGAATTAGGCTGGGCATGGTGGCTCATGCCTGTAATCCCAGCAATTTGGGAGGCCGAGGCAGGCGGATGGCTTGAGCTCAGGCATTAAAGACCAGCATGGGAAACATAGTGAGACCCTGTCTCTACAAAAATTACAAAAAAAGTTAGCCAGGTGTGGTGGCACAGGCCTGTAATCCAAGCGACGTGGGGGACTGAGGTGGGAGGATCACATGAGCTCAGGAGGTTGAGGCTGCAGTGAACCAAGATCAACATACCGTTGCATTGCATCCAGCCTAGGTGGCAAAGTGAGACCTTGTTTAAAAAAAAAAAAAAAAAAAAAAAAGAGGTTTAGAAGAATTAAGTTCAAATTTGACTTCTTTTATGTAGTAAAAAATAAAAATATACATATTTTTATAAATATAAGGAAATGTATAGAAGAATGCACAATTAAAGTTAGGTATCAGGTAGGTGGGATTATATAAGAAAGGAGCAGGTTTTGAGTAATTTCTTTAAACAGCGTTGTGTTATTTAACCTCTTAAAACAAGCATAGTTCCTTTTTAAATTAAAAAAAATGCAAATATACTTTCAAAAGGAGCCCTCTACCTGATGAGAAAGGACATTAGATGTAGAAATAAACTGTTTCTTCTTTGACTTCTCGTGTTTCAGGAATTTTCCCTTTCAGAAGGGAAACCCAGGCCTAAGATTTTTCGTTAAAGAAAAACTCAGTTACAAAGCAATACAGAGGAAGGCTTTTTTTTCTTGTTTCTTTTTATTTTTGTAGAAAATTTGTAAAAGAAAATTGCTTCCTAGCTGAGACCTTGAATGGCAAGTTGCAGCTGAGAATAAATTTTTAATACTTAGTTAAAAGTCCTTGATAATAGAGGTTTATTATACAAGTGTTAACAAATCCTTAATTATACCAGTGTTTGCAACAAGTCCAACTGCATTATCCCAGTGGTTCAGCACCTTATGTATATATTATGTCTATCTGATTCAATTAGATCTCCAACATAATCAATACAGAAAAGACTAAAACAATTAGCTTCATTTTCACACTCTCAAAGTTGGTCAGAGAGTAGCTTAGAAATCTTTATTCTCGACAATTTGGATTGTATGGGCTGCCATGTTTCCAGTATGGTCCAAAAATCATTATTATTGTGTAATTTAAGTTTATTCATGTTCATTCTGGGTGCTCCTTTAAGAATACTAAACGAGAAAACTCGCAACTCCAACTTCAGGCAACAAGAACTGTTACAAACATTAGAATATGATTAAAATATCTCTGAGCTCCCGTTCTAGAAAATTAGAAACTAGACATGCCAGTTGTTTTATTTCTTTACTGAATCCAACTATGGTTTGATTGAACCAGGATTGTTATTGTTCTGTTTTTGGCCGAAAACCATTTGCCTCAAATCTGCTTTTACCATATAAGCAAATATAATTATTCAAATATTTAAATATGAATAAAATCTCATTAAATATCTGTACAGAAAACCATGGCTTCTTTTTAATGAAAATGCAAAAACCAAGGATGCCTTATTTAGAGCCCGCCTGAAATGTGCCTCTGAAATGTGATTTGAATTCACATCAGAGAAAGCTCATAACAGGACAGCTTTTGTCAACTAACATTTTCTTTGCACCAACCATGTATGGTTAAGGAAGCAGAGCAATTTTATGCTAGAATACAAGGTTTGATTTGGGTCAGGGCTGCAGAGTGCAGGGAGCAGTAGCACAGGGGGACTGCTATTCTAACAAGCAGCTGTGTGACCTCAGGGAAAGCATTTCACCCAATAGAAAACATCTTCCCTCAACCATCAAAAGCAGATAACAATGCTCACCCTCCTTATCTCTAAGCAGTACAAGGGGGCTCAAATAACATATCAAAATTAGTAGCATCTTCATCTTTCCTCTTCATCTTTCTCATCCAGAGTTAATGGAACTTAGCATGCGTTATTGTATTTTAGCATATTTATATGTCTATCTTCCCCACTCTTCCAACGCAGGTACTGTGACTTTTTTTTTCTTTGTATTCCAATTACTGTGGGACCACAATACATGTTTGGAAATGTAATATCAAATAATTGAAATTCCTTTTAGAAAAGTGAAGCATCACATAAATACAAGGTGTTGGATATGATTTTGCATCAGTATTAACAAGAGTTAGTCTTAATATGAAAATCGCTTTACAAGACAGTCATTTCACTCTGAAGTGCACTGAGTTCTGAATTCATGGGATCTGCATTTCTCTCTGAATTCAGTACTATGACCATGGCGATCATCAACTAAGCCCTGACTTCCTTATTGATAGGTTCCCTACAAAACCAGTGATCTTTATACTTTACATTTCCCATCTCACATTGAATGAAGTACATTCCATGGTGTAATTGTGTGTTAAAAGTAATATGAATAATTTCCCCCAAAATAATTATTAAGCTGTAAACTTGCTAAATAAGGTTCAAAAATACATGCACAAGATCATTACATTTAAAGGACAGTTTGCCAGCCTGGGCAACACGGCGAAACCCTGTCTCTACAAAGAATACAACAATTAGCTGGGCATGGTGGCAAATGCCTGTATTCCTAGCTATTCCTCGGGTGGCTGAGGTGGGAGAATTGCTTGAGCCTGGGAGGTCGAGGCTGCAATGAGCTGTGATGGCGCCACTACACTCCAGCCTGGGCAACAAAGTGAGACCTTGTCTCAAAAAATAAAAAAAAAATTAAACGACAGTGTGCACAAACATTTTCCATGGGCTCTTTATTTCCAAACAGCCAGGGAAAAAAAAGAAAAAAGAAAAAAATCACATTTCCAACAAGAACTGTGACAAACATTAGAAAAATACTCTTCTTTTTTTTCTTTCATCTACTTCAAAGACAGCGTGGCTGTCTGTACTCTAGCATCACATATACATTAGTAATGATTTGTTTCTTTTTAGAAAAATAAAAATGATCTTTTATAGCTGGGTAGAAATTCCAAAGCCATTGACCAGAACCTAACAATTTCTATAATTATCCAAGTAGTATATAAAATAATATCATAGTAGAAGAAGACCAATAAGATAATTTTTGAAAGTCTATGAATGTAAATCAAATTATTCTATCTTGGTAATAGATAAAATTCCTTCAGTAAAACTGAACATTCTTTAGATTAAAAAATAAATTAAATAAAATGACATTTTTCATACCTTCAGTGCTTGGTATATAATGAGTAGTCAATAAATATAAAACAAATGATTAAACATCAATACAGTGATTGAGAAATATGGTAGAAAATAGACTTTGTCCCCAGTTCCACTTCTTGATCTATTATATAAAGTCCTAATTGAGTAGTTTAAGTTATTCATTTTCCTTCTTTTTTATTATGCTTTAGGTTCTGAGATACATGTACAGAACCTGCAGGTTTGTTACACAGGTTTGCATGTGCCATGGTGATTTGCTGCACCCATTAACCTATTATATACATTATGTGTTTCTCCTAATGCTATCCCTCCCCTAGACTCCACCGCCTGACAGGCCCTGGTGTGTGATACTCCCCTCCCTGTGTCCATGTGTTCTCATTGTTCAGCTCCCACTTATGAGTGAGAACACGCAGTGTTTGGTTTTCTGTTCCTGTGTTAGTTTGCTGAGAATGATAGTTTCCAGCTTCATACATGTCCCTGCAAAGAACATGAACTCATCCCTTTTTATGGCTGCATAGTATTCCATGGTATATATGTGACACATTTTCTTTATCCAGCCTATCATTGATGGCCATTTGGGTTGGTTCCAAGTCTTTGCTATTGTGAACAGTGCTGCAATAAACACAAGTGTGCATGTGTCTTTATAGTAGAAAGACTTATAATCCTTTGGGTATATACTCTGTAATGGGATTGCTGGGTCAAATGGTATTTCTGGTTCTAGATCCTTGAGGGATCGCCACACTGTCTTGCACAATGGTTGAACTGATTCATACTCCCATCAACAGTGAAAAAGCACTCCTGTTTCTCCACACCCTCTCCAGCATCTGTTGTTTCCTGACTTTTTAATGATCGCCATTCTAACTGGCATGAGATGGTATCTCATTGTGGTTTTGATTTAGATTTCTCTAACGACCAGTGATGATGAGCTTTTTTCCATATGTTTGTTGGCTGCATAAATGTCTTCTTTTGAGAAGTGTTCATTCATATCATTTGCCCACTTTTTGATGGGATTCTTTGTTTTTTTCTTGTAAATTTGTTTAAGTTCTTTGTAGATTCTGGATATTAGCCCTTCATCAGATGGATGATTGCAAAAATTTTCTCCCATTCTGTAGGTTACCTGTTCACTCTGATGATAGTTTCTTTTGCTGTGCAGAGGCTCTTTAGTTTAATTAGATCCCATTTGTCAATTTGGCTTTTGTTGCCATTGCTTTTGGTGTTTTAGTCATGAAGTCTTTGCCCATGTCTATGTCCTGAATGTTATCGCCTAGATTTTCTTCTAGGTTTTTTATGGTTTTAGGCCTTACATTTAAGTCTTTATTCCATCTTGAGTTAATTTTTGTATAAGGTGTAAGGAACCAGTTTCAGTTTTCTGCACATGGCTAGCCAGTTTTCCCAACATCATTGATTAAATAGGGAATTGTTTCTCCATTGCTTGTTTTTGTCAGGTTTGTCAAAGAACAGATGGCTGTAGATGTGTGCTGTTATTTCTGAAGCCTCTTTTCTGTTCCATTGGTCTATATATCTGTTTTGGTACCAGTACTATGCTATTTTGGTTACTGTGGCCTTGTAGTATAGTTTGAAGTCAGGTAGTGTGATGCCTCCAGCTTTGGTCTTTTTGCTTACGATTGTCTTGGCTATGAGGGCTCTTTTTTGGTCCCATATGAAATTTAAAGTAGTTTTTTCTAATTCTGTGAAGAAAGTCATTGGTAACTTGATGGGGATAGCATTGAAAGTAATTTATAATTACTTTGGGCAGTATGGCCATTTTCACGACATTGATTCTTCCTACCAATGAGCATGGAATGTTTTTCCATTTGTTTGTGTCCTCTCTCATTTCCTTGAGCAGTGGTCTGTAGTTCTCCTTGAAGAGGTCCTTCAAATCCCTTGTAAGTTGTATTCCTAGGTATTTTATTCTCTTTGTAGCAATTGTGAATGGGCGTTCACTCATGATTTGGCTCCCTGTTGGCCTATTATTGGTGTATAGGAATGCTTGTGACTTTTGCACGTCAATTTTGTATTCTGAGACTTTGCTGAAGTTGCTTATCAGCATAAGGAGATTTTGGGCTGCGACAATGGGGTTTTCTAAATATACAATCTTGTCATCTGCAAACACAGCCAATTTGACTTCCTCTCTTCCTATTTGAATACCCTTTCTTTCTTTCTCTTGCCTGATTGCCCTGGCCAGAACTTCCAACACTATGTTGAATAGGAGTGGTGAGAGAGGACATCCTTGTCTTGTGCTGGTTTTCAAAGGGAATGCTTCCAGCTTTTGCCCATTCAGTATCATACTGGCTGTGGGTCTGTCATAAATAGCTCTTATTATTTTGAGATATGTTCCATCAATACGTAGTTTTTTGACAGTTTTTAGCATGAAGGGGAGTTGAATTTTATTGAAGGCCTTTTCTGCATCTATTGAGATAATCATGTGGTTCTGTTTATGTGATGGATTACTTTTATTGATTTTCGTATGTTGAACCAGCCTTGCATCCCAGGGATGAAGCTGACTTGATGGTGGTGGATAAGCTTTTTGATTTGCTGCTGTGGGCCTGACATAAATAGCTTTTATTATTTTGAGATAGGTTCCATCAATACCTAGTTTTTTGAGAGTTTTTAGCATGAAGGAGGGTTGAATTTTATTGAAGGCCTTTTCTGCATCTACTGAGATAATCATGTGGTTCTGTTTATGTGATGGATTACTTTTATTGATTTGCATATGTTGAACCAGCCTTGCATCCCAGGGATGAAGCCAACTTAATGGTGGTGGATAAGCTTTTTGATTTGCTGCTGGATTCGTTTTGCCAGTATTTTATTGAGGATTTTCATATCGAAGTTCATCAGGGATATTGGCCTGAAATTTTCTTTTTTTTGTTGTGTTTCTGCCAGGTTTTGGTATCAGGATGGTGCTGACCTTAGAAAATGAGTTAGGGAGGAGTTCCTTTGTTTCTATTGTTTGGAATAGTTTCAGAAGGAATGGTACCAGCTCCTCTTTGTAACTCTGGTAGAATTTGGCTGTGAATCTTTTTTCGGTTGGTAGGCCATTAATTACTGCCTCAATTTCAGAACTTGTTATTGGTCTATTCAGGGATTTGACTTCTTCCTGGTTTAGTCTTCTGATGGTGCATGTATCCAGGAATTTATTCATTTCTTTTAGATTTTCCAGTTTATTTGTGTAGAGGTGTTTATAGTATTCTCTGATCATAGTTTGTATTTCTGTCGTATCAGTGGTGATATCCCCTTTATCATTTTTCTATTGTGTCTATTTGATTCTTCTTTCTTTTCTTCTCTATTAATCTGGCTATTGGTCTATCTATTTTGTTAATCTAAAAAAAACCAGATCCTGGATTAATTGATTTTTTGAAGGGGTTTTCATCTCTCTATCTCCTACAGTTCTGCTCTGATCTTAGTTATTTCTTCTCTTCGGCTAGCTTTTGAATTTGTTTGTTCTTGATTCTCTAGTTCTTTTAATTGTGATGTTAGGGTGTTGATTTTATATCTTTCTTACTTTCTCCTTTGGGCGTTTAGTGCTATAAACTTCCCTCTAAACACTGCTTTAGCTGTGTCCCAGAGATTCTGGTGCGCTGTGTCTTTGTTCTCATTGGTTTCAAATAATTTATTTATTTCTGCCTTAATTTTGTTATTTACCAAGTAAATTCAGGAGCAGGTTGTTCAGTTTCCATGTAGTTGTGTGGTTTTGAGTGAGTTTCTTAATCCGAAGTTCTAATTTGATTGCACTGTGGTTTGACAGACTGTTTGTTACAATTTTCAATTTTTTGCATTTGCTGAGGAGTGTTTTACTTCCAATTTTGTGGTTGATTTTAGAATAAGTGTGATGTGGTGCTGAGAAGAATGTATATTCTGTTGATTTGGGGTGGAGAGTTCTATAGATGTCTATTAGGTCCGCTTGGTCCAGAGTTGAGTCCAAGTCCTGAATATCCTTGTTAACTTTCTGTCTTGTTGATCTATTATTGACAGTGGGGTGCTAAAGTCTCACACTATTATTGTGTGGGAGTCTAAGTCTCTTCATAGGTCTCTAAGAACTTGCTGTTTTGTAGGTCTCTAAGAATTTGATCCTGTCATTATGATGCTAGTTGTTTATTTTGCCTGTTAGTTGATGCAGTTTCTTCATAGTGTCGATGGTCTTTACAATTTGGTATGTTTTTGCAGTGGCTGGTACCAGTTTTTCCTTTCCATATTTAGTGCCTCCTTCAGGAGCACTTATAAGGCAGGCCTGGTGATGACAAAATCTCTCAGCCTTTGCTTGTCTGTAAAGAATTTTATTTCTTCTTCGCTTATGAAGCTTAGTTTGGCTGGAGAGCAAATTCTGGGTTTAAAATTCTATTTTTTTTTTAAGAATGTTGAATATTGGCCCCCACTGTCTTCTCACTTGTAGGGTTTCTGCAGGGAGATCTGCTGTTAGTCTGATGGGCTTCCTTTGTGAGTAACCCGACCTTTCTCTCTGGCTGCCCTGAGCATTTTTTCCTTCATTTCAACCTTGGTGAATCTGACGATTATGTGTCTTGGGGTTGCTCTTCTTGAGGAGTATTTTTGTGGTGTTTTCTGTACTTTCTGAATTTGAATGTTGGCCTATCTTGCTAGATCGGGGAAGTTCTCCTGGATAATATCCTGAAGAGTGTTTTCCAATTTGATTATATTCTCCCCATCACTTTCAGGTACACTAATCAAATGTAGGTTTGGTCTTTTCACAGAATCCCATATTTCCTGGAGGCTTTGTTCATTCATTTTCATTCTTTCTTCTTTAATTTTGTCTTCACACTTTATTTCATTAAGTCGATCTTCAATCTCTGATATCCTTTCTTCTTCTTGATCAATTCGGCTATTGATACTTGTGTATGCTTCACAAAATTCTCATGCTTTCATGTTTTTCAGCTCCATCAGGTCATTTATGTTCTTCTCTAAACTGCTTATTCTAGTTAGCAATTCCTGTAACTTTTTTTCAAGGTTCTTAGCTTCCTTGCATTGGGTTAGAACATGCTCCTTTAGCTCAGAGGAGTTTGTTATTACCCAGCTTCTGAAGTCTACTTCCATCAATTTGTCAAATTCATTCTCCATCCAGTTTTGTTCCCTTGCTGGTGAGGAGCTGTGATCCTTTCGAAGAGAAGAGGCATTCTGGTTTTTGGAATTTTCAGCCTTTTTGCACTGGTTTGTCCTCATCTTCATGGATTTATCTACCTTAGGTCTTTGATGTTGGTAACCTTCAGATGGGATTTCTGTGGGGACATCCTTTTTGTTGATGTTGATGCTATTCCTTTCTGTTTGTTAATTTTCTTTCTAATAGGCCTCTGTGCTGCAGGTCTGCTGGAGTTTGCTGGAGGTCCACTCTAGACCCTGTTTGCCAAGGTATCACCAGCGGAGGCTGTAGAACAGCAAAGATTGCTGCCTGTTCCTTCCTCTGGAAGCTTTGTCCTAGAGGGGCACCTGTCAGATGCTAGCCGGAGCTCTCCTGTATGAGGTGTCTATCAACCCCTACTGCAGTTGTCTCCCAGTCAGGAGGCAGAGGTTCAGGGACCCACTTGAGGAGGTAGTCTGTCCCTTAGCAGAGCTTGAGTGCTGTTCTGGGAGATCTGCTGCTTTTTTCTGAGCCAGCAGGCAGGAGCATTTAAGTCCCCTGAAGCTGCGCCCACAGTCACCCCTTCTCCCAGGTGTTCTGTCCCAGGGAGATGGGAGTTTGATCTATCAGCCCATGACTGGGGCTGCTGCCTTTCTTTCAGAGATGCCCTTCGCAGAGAGGAGGAATCTAGAGATGCAGTCTGGCTACAGCGGCTTTACAGAGCTGTGGTGGGCTCCACCCAGTTCAAACTTCCAGGTGGCTTTGTTTACACTGTGAGGGGAAAACCACCTACTCAGGCCTCAGTAATGGTGGACACCCCTCCCCACACCAAGCTTGAGCATCCCAGGTTGACTACAGACTGCTGTGCTGGCAGCAAGAATTTCAAGCCAGTGGATCTTAGCTTGCTGGGCTCTGTGGGGGTGGGATCCACTGAGCTAGACTACTTGGTTCCCTGGCTTCAGCCCCCTTTCCAGGGGAGTAACCAGTTCTGTCTCACTGGCATTCCAGGTGCCACTGGGGTACAAAAAAAAAACTCCTGCAGCCAGCTCGCTGTCTGCCCAAGTGGCTGCCCAGTTTTGTGCTTGAAACCCAGGGCCCTGGAGTCGTAGGCACCCGAGGGAATCTCCTAGTCTGTGGGTTTGCAAAGACCATGGGAAAAGCGTACTATCTGGGCCAGAGTGCGTCGTTCCTCAAGGCATAGTCCCTCATGGCTTCCCTTGGCTAGGGGAAGGAGTTCCCTGACCCCTTGTGCTTTCCAGATGAGGTGATGCCCCACCTTGCTTCTGCTCGACCTCCGTGGGCTGCACCCACTGTCTAACCAGTCCGAATGAGATGAGCCAGGTACCTCAGTTGGAAATACAGAAATCACCTGCCTTCTGCATTGATTTCACTGGGAGATGCAGACTGGAGCTGTTCCTATTTGGCCATCTTGCCAGCTCCTCATTTTCCTTTTTATCTTTTTTTATGTGATCTAATATTCTTCATGTTTCATCAGGAGTTCTTTGCTTTACCATTTTGTAAGTGAGAAACTGAAGGAAGAATTCAAGTGACTTGTACAGGATCAAATAGTAAATCTATGACAGAGTTGCCAATGCACTGTAATTCAGTGATAGAATCTTCATTACCACTTCAGACCACTGTAATGTTTTATTCAGTCTCCTAAAAATTCTCATCCCACTGGAAATACATATATATAAGACTTTAAAGCTGATACATTAGTTATGATGGGGAAAATATGTAATTTCAATTATACTTCATGGAATCATATTGCTTCTCCATTAGAGGGTCAATTTTTTAAAAGAAACTTTTAGAATTAATGTTGAAAATAAGAGAAATTGGAATGTGGATAATAAAATAATACTATTTTATAAAAGCTATTTGTTTTGAAGCTCCCCAAACTCACATACAATTACTTGGTAGTCACTGGCATTCCTTGTTACTTTAGAAAAAAAAAGCCAACAGAGTGGAGAAGAACAACTGGTAAGCAAATAGGATAAGCAAGAAAGAGAAGAGTTGACCCAGCTCACTAAAATACCCAAAATATGAGTGTTCCAAACTTTTGGCATCAAGGATTTCTATCCTTAAATATTCTCCACCATAGGTCCTGTATTTTGAAAGATCTACTTAATGACACAAACTACACTTAAGTTTTTTAAAAACATTAAATTTAAAGCATTGAATTAGTCTAATTCCCATCCAAAGCAAAGACCATAGTTATCTCCATTGCCTAATCAAGAGTAAATCTATACATACTTCTTCTTAGACTTACTGAAGTAATATAAAAACTTCAACCACTACCACCCACTCACTCTAGGATCTGTAAGGACTCGCATTGTGAACAATTACATTAGGAAAGCTAGTATTTGCTCCACACCCCATAATTCTTATTTTGAATACTCATGACATGAAGAGTCACTGATGAATTCACCTCTTCTCTTTTTGGCACTCAACCTATCAAGTCTTGCTGAATCTACCCCCAAAGAATATCTCCACTTTGGCCATTTCTCTCTATCCTCTCTTATCTTTTCTGTTCAAGGCACCATTATCCTTTTCATGGACCACTGTAAGATCCTCCAACCAATGCTCCCTGTCTCCATCTTCCTCTCCCTAAAATTCATTCTCCACACAGAATTTGGAACTTCCTTTTTAATATGTAAATAAGATAATGTTTCTTTCTCACTTATTTGAAGTTCTTTGGTGTTTTTTTTTTTTAATTGAATTTAAAAGAAATCCCAGACTCCTTACCATAGCCTATAAGATGTTATAACAATCAAATCCATTCCTTCTCCAACAACTTCCTTTCAAATCATTGTTTTCCTAGACACTGGGCATCAGTATTACTGTATTCCTTTATTTTCCTCAAAAAAGTCAAACAAGTTCTTTGCATTTGCTATCACCTCCATCTGGAATTCCCTTCTCTCAGATCATCCCATAGCTGACTCCTTCTCAACATTCATATCTTAGTTCAAATGGCACCTATTCACAGAGACCTTCCTTGATGCCTTGACCTGTCACAACCTTTTCAAACATCTTCTATCCTATTATTTACCATGTCATTTCATTTTTATTAGCATTTTTATCACTATGTGAATTCATCACATTCATTTTATTCATTTGCTTGTCAATATTCTTCCATCAGAATGTAAGGTTTCTGACAATGGGGACTCGCACACAGTAGGCATTTAATAAACATCTGTTGAACAGATGAACGAGTGTTATAATCTAATTTTAAATTAAACCTATTGAGAAATATATCTGATCTCCTCCATTAGATGTGTTTATTTATTGGTAATGTTTACCTTTGTATTCTTTTTCATGCGTGTGATAGATAATCAATTCTTTGAATGAGAAAACGAAAAAAATTCATAAATTGTTTTAATTCCATCAAAGACTTCTGTGCTAGACAGAATGATAAAAACTTGGTTTGGGGAACAGAGTTTGTAAATGGAAGACTAAGAAGGAAAATAAGAATCAGTCCTTGATTTCCAGTTGAAGAAACGCATGGAAACAACTATAATACCAAATAAGGTGAAGTGAGTGCAACTGGAGAGGGAGACTAAGATTAGGGAAGGCAACTGTGAATATGGGCTGCAGTCTGAGGCATGTGCAGGGATACAATGGCAAATAAAGCTGAAGCAGAAAAGATTTGAGTGGCATGTTAATTTTTCAAAAAATAGGAAACTCTTAAAGAAGAATAAATGATAAATTTTCCATCTGTTTAGATGTAATTTCCTCCAAAAAGCTTCTTCTTATCCTCAAGGTATTGATTAGGGGACCCCATAGCCCTTCTTATTTCCCCTTTAGTGAATCTGCTCTGATGAGTTGTAATTGCCAGTTTGCCAGTTTGATTTCTCCATCATCTTTAAGCTCCAAGAAGGCAGTACTGTGAATATCTTAGTCATCATTTTATCCTCAGCATCTGGCAAGGTACCTATATCATAAAAAGTGCTCCATAAATGGTTTTAGAAAGAAAGAAGACACAAGGAAAGGAAGGTGAGGAGTCAAGAAAAGAGAAGGGTGGAAGGGAATACAACATGGTGGGGAAAGAGCAAGGCAGCCTCCTCCCTCCTCAACACACCCCTCCCACCAAGCAGTGGGGTGAGCGGCACCTACTCTGCAGCTCACCATTTGAAAAGCTTGATATAGCTCTTCAAGTTAGCACATTTGGCAAAATAAACTATTAGAAGAATATTAAGTGCAACATATTCATAGTTATAAAAAATAAAGCCAGTTTCAACAGTTGTATTTATAGGTTATATCTTTTGTAGGCTTTAATTGAATAAACTCTTTAAATATTTATCCAGATTTCAAAAGCATTTGTTAGTCATTGATTTAATATATTCTCATACATGTGTTCAATATTTAGGCAATTTACTATTTTTATCTTAATTAAGACTTGTCTTTTTAATTTGCAGCAAGCTAAATCACATGTATTGTCATAGAACTCTAAACTTCTTTGTTTGATAGGGTGTGACCTTATCATAAAAGTATTCTTTATGAAGACATTTGAAAATATATATACATATAGTGCCTCACTTGAAATTATTCATATATTTAACACTTGAATCAAAAGCAGGAAGTGGTATAAGAGAAGTATTAATTCAATTTAGTGTGTACTTCAGTTTTTTATTTGACATTGGAACAAAGTCATTCAGAAAAACTCAACTGAGTCTGTACACAAAATAGCCTGCCTTGTCCTTCTCTAACAAGGAGACTATCCTGAACTTCAGTTTCACCATTTGTTTTGGAAGAAGATGTAATGCACAGCTAGAATGGCTCCTTAGACAACACAAGAGTGAGCAATCAGAGTTTTAAATCCAGATCTACCAGAGGTTTCCTATTCAACAAATCAATTATTTCATTCGTATCAGTTTCTTTAGGTTTAAAAATGAATCTTTTAAGTGAAAATGATCAACAAATAATTGAAATAAGTATATAAAAACAATTTGCTTATGATATTAGCATACCCACTTTTAAGTGACATTCACTTTTAATTTAGAGTAATGTGAACCAATTGATCATTTGTCTGCCAATTAATTGTGTTCATTGCACAAAATGTATCACAGTCACTTAAGAATGTTTAAAACAAGATTAGCGTGCTCCCTGCCCTCAAAAATCAAAATATTATTTCCAGAGAGGTCTCAAAATGTATCTAGATACACTGAGGTATGTCTAGGCCATTCAATTTTTGGATCCTGAAAATATAGCCAGCCTTCCTTAGAAGAAAAGCCTACACTATACTTCCTGCTTCTTAATAAAATAAATTAATCTTGAGAAAAAGTGCTTATACACTTAATTTATTTGACTTACTGCATTGGAGAAGAAAGGCAGCAGTATAGAATATAGTGAGCATAGAATTTTGATTCTGAACTACTGGTTTTGAGTCCTGGGTCCACATTTACTACCTGTGCAATTTTGGAAAGCCCATTTCCTTTCTCTGAACCTCAGGTTTACTGTCAGCATGCAAGGATAATAATACACATACTTACATAACGTATCTTAACAGTTTGCAGTGAAAATACTCTCTAAAAAGCTGTGTAGAGTGCTATATAAATTCTCATCATTATATTTCCATAGTCTTTAAAATGCATTATTTATTATGGAAAGTGTTTCAAACCTTCCAGATTCAAGTAAGGTGAATGTTTTTGACAAGTTTTCCAATCTGGTGCTAGGTTACCTGCACATAGACCTAAACAAAGTCATATTGCACAGCCTCCATATACTGAGTGTTTTCCTTGACATTGACAAATTTCTGGTTGCCACAGTGTACAGAAGATGAATGCACATGGGCAAAATAAGAACAGAATAAAAGCAACTTAACTTTGGATAGTGTCTAGCAGGCCCTAAACATGATGGTTGAATGAATCTTTTCTATGGCTAAAATGAAGGCCTTTTTGGTCAAGGCTTTCATGGGAAGACAATCTATCAGGTCGTTTTTTCCCCAGATTAGTTTTTAATCCAATTTCCCTGACTACTTCCTAATAAATGAGGGAGGTTTTGCATCAATGTCTCTGCAGCCTCATATCAAGCCAGACTTTGCAGTACAATCAGCTATTATAGGCCATATTTTCCTCTTTAAATTCAACTATATATATCTATCAGTGCTACCAGCAACCTGCCTTAATAACTTCATTAACTAGTCCAAACATGTAGTAGTCTTTTATGTTATCTTAAATCTCCTTCTTTATCCCCACATGCAAAAAAAATTATGTTTGTGAGATAAATCTTTGAGCATACTTTCTCCAAGCAGATTTTGGAATTCTCCTAAAATAAAAATATGAAGAGCCATGGAAGATGATTGGGATAGCTAAGAGACCAGAGTTGGCATCAGTGAATGCCAACTAATACAATTTTTATGGAGCAAATATATTCTTTTGCTGTTTTGAAAATGAATTACAGAAACTGAAATTTAATTCCTTTTTAGGCAATTTTTGTAACTCTAATGAATTTATGAAAGACATTTAGCAAAGAGGACTGAAAAATAGAGCTATCTGACATCTAGGACTTTGCTGCCTTAATACCAGTTCCTGGGTCCACTGCTCTGCTGTCATTTACCATGTGCATCTTATTTGGTCTGCTGTATGAGTGTGGCCTTTTTCTTACTTAGAAATGAAATCAGCTATACTGCCTTAGCGGTGTCCCTCCCACCATTAGTGTCTATCTTACACAGCTTCGTCTTGTTATGGTTCTAGTGGTTGTGCGTATTTCTTTCTCAAAAATTGTTAAAAAGGAATAGAGGTTTAGCAGACTGTGGCAATGGAAAAACAGCCTGAGAATTACAAGGGCAGAAGTTGAACAACACTGTATGTTGTTTTTATGAAAATACAAATTGCTGGGAACAATTTATAAAAGGCAGATATATCTTAAATAGAGAAGTCCTAACATTGTAATTTTAAATTTTGGCAGTTGTGCATAGTTCATTATAACTTTAATATTCAATTATATTAATGGTAGGTGATTTCCATATTCATTAGATTCCATATGTAGTCTGAAAGACCTGTATAAAAGAAGAATGGAAATAAATCTTCCTAGCTGTTGGCAAAAAATAGTGCTTTGTTCCTGTTATATTATTGCCCATGTTGGTGGCAGTGGTGAGGTAATTTTTGGGGGGAGATTTGTTTCTTCATCAGAAGTAAGTATGCAGCAAAATTAGATGTAAAACTGAATTCCAAATATACTCTCTTCTTTACAGATTGTAATAACTTCTTGGTTATTTTTCAAGATGTGTACTTACATACCATTGATATTTTAAATAATATGAAAATTAAATTAAGAAGTAAGATCAATACAAAAGGCAAACTACATGCACAAGAGCCAATAAAAATCTTTATGTATGTCTTTGCAGAATAAGCCATATGAAAAACATAATCATCATTTATATTACACATATTTATATTTCATATGGTTCTTACAGCAACATCAATAATCCTATAAAGAAAATAAAGTTTCAGACATATCATTTGTCCTCAAAAAATAGTTGTTGTTAAATGAATGGATTGAAGGGTGTATGAATGCCTGTAATTAAAAAAATGAGGCCAGGTACAGTGACTCATGCTTGTAACCCCAGCACTTTGAGATACCAAGGCAGGTGGATCACCTGAGGTCAGGAGTTCGAGATCAGCCTGGTAAACATGGTGAAATCCAGTCTCTACTTAAAAAAAAAAAAAAAAAAAAAGATACAAAAATTAGCCAGGCATGGTGGTGGGTGCCTGTAATTCCAGCTATTCAGGAGACTGAGGCAGGAGAATCACTTGAACCCGGGAGGCGGAGGTTGCAGTGAGCCAGGATTGCACCACTGCACCCCATCCTAGGCAACAAGAGCGAAACTCCACGTCAAAATAAATAAATAAATAAATAAAGCTTATTTGCAAACTATTCTGACAAGGGACCAGTATTCAAAATATATAAGGAACTCAAACTACTCAACAGCAAAAAACAAAACAAAACAAAACAAAAACCCTTTAAAAAGTAGGCAAAGGACATGAACAAACATTTCTCAAAGCAAGACATACAAATGGCCAATGGATATATGAAAAAATGCTCAACATCACTAACCATCAGAGAAATGCAAGACAAAAGCATGATGAGATATCCTCTTACTTCAGGTAGAATGTCTATTATCAAAAAGGCAAAAAATAAAAGATGCTGGTGAGGATGTGGAGACATGGAAACTTCTATACATTGTTGGTGAGAATGTAAATTAGTGCAGCCATTATAGAAAATAGTATGAGGATTTCTCAAAATACTAAAAATAAAGCTACCATATGATGCAGCAATCCCACTATTGGGTATATATTCAAAGGAAAGGACATCAGCATATCAAAAGGATACCCATCATGTTTACTGCAGCACTATTCACAATAGCAAAAATATGAAATCCACCTAAGCGTCCATCAAGGGATCAACTGATAAAGAAAATGTGGTATATATAGACAAGAGAATACTATTCAGCCATAAGAAAGAATGAAATCCCATCATTTGCAGCAACATGGATGGAACTAGAGGTCTTTATGTTAAATCAAACAAGCCAGAAACAGAGAAAACAAATATTGCATGTTCTCACTCACATGTAGGAGCTAAATAAAAAGTTGATCTCATGGAGGTAGAGAGTAAAATGACAGATACCATAAGCTGGGAAGACTTTGGAGGAGTAATGAAGAGAAGTCGGTTAATGGGTACAAACATACAATTTGATAGAAAGAATAAGTTATCATGTTTGATAGCAGAGTAGGGTAATTATAATTAACAATAATGTATTGTATATTTCAAAATAGCTACAAGAGAGACCTTGAAATGTTCCCAACATATAGAAATGACAAATTCTTGAGGTGATTGTGATGGTCATTACACATTCTATGTCTGTAACAAAACATCACATGCACTCCATCAATATGTACAAATATTATGTAACAATCAATCAATAAGAAAATGGGCCGGGCATGGTGGCTCATGCCAGTAATCCCAGCACTTTGGGAGGCCAAGGCGGGCAGATCACCTGAGGTCAGGAGTTCGAGACCAGCCTGACCAACATAGAGAAACCCTGTCTCTACTAATAATACAAAAGTTAGCTGGACTTCGTGGTGCCTGCCTGTAATCCCAACTACTTGGGAGGCTGGGGCACGAGAATTGTTTGAACTCGGGAGGTGGAGGTTATGGTGAGCCAAGATCATGCCATTGCACTCCAACCTGAGCAAAAAGAGTGAAACTCCGTCTCAAAAAAAAAGAAAGAAAGAAAGAAAAGAAAGAAGAAAGAAAGAAAGAAAGAAAGAAAGAAAGAAAGAAAGAAAGAAAGAAAGAAAGAAAGGAAAGAAAACGAAGCTCAAAGAAATTATTAAGTAAGTAACTCACCAGAGATGGCACACTAAAAAATTTTAAGATTCTGACCTTGAACACAGGCATTTTGACTCCAGTTTTACTGTGCTTTTGACCTCCCTATGATTCCCTTTTCAACAACTGACATTGACCTTTATCCACTTTCTCCCCACTTTGGATCTAAGATATCTGAGGCAAGTAAAGTCCAAAGCAACTTACAGACTTACCTACCACATGTGAATGTTAATTGATAGCATTTGCTTCTTTGTCTCTGGTCAAACCTGGACTTGGGAAGAAATACAGGAAAGAGATGTATAGAGAACTGTACAGTCAAATCAGAGTAGGAGAGTGAAAAACAGGGAGTGCTTTCTAATTTAAGAACAGAGTGAAAGAAAAATCCTGTACTCACCTTCAATTCGTGCTGGGGATTCCAGTAAAAGCAATGACAGCATTGACAATCCTGATCTTCTCGCTTAAAGAACATAAAAGTTTCGTTATCTTTTCCAAACTCATAGTTCTCAACCAGAAAGACCTAATCAGTTAAGAGGGTGGGTAGAACATAATTTGTTTCAGATTGCATTTAATTATTATTAAATATTATTATACACTGAAGTTAACAAATGATTTAACTTAAGCAAAAGTTAGTCAATTCAAGCTTATCTTTATCATAAAGCCACTCTTTATGTGCTTCCCAGTGTTGCTTCCTAAGACTTAGAGATCAGATTGAGTAATTATTCAGACTATGTGAATTGCTTAGAATCCAAATTTTATGTGGATGTGTCTACGGCAAAGTTAAAGGATTGAAAACACTCTCCTAGATAGTTATCGATAGGCAGGAAAGTGATTCTATAACCTGCCAAAATATTTGTACATATTTCCTAAGACCTGTAAAAAGAGTAAATAGGCACTTGCAAGAGCCACTGATTTCCCAAAGGATAAGAAAATGGGAAAGAAGCAACATTTACATAAACTTAGTTGCTCTGGACAATTACCCCTATGGATCAAGGGGGATTATTCTTGTATAATCATCTTGCTGGCTATTGGTTGGCATTTAAGATTAAGGTAAACATGAGTAGCTGGGAAAAAATGATGCAGCATATGAGTTCCAAGTGTATTAATTCCATCTTTGTCAGTGTTTCTTATGTATGTTTGGAAAGTGATGGTATTTTTTTTACCTAGTCAAATAAAAAACGGTTTTCCTTAGACAAGGAATTTCATCATTTCCGAACTTTTACAATTGTGTGCTCTACCTATCATTTTCATATGCTTCCTTAACCAGCAAATGATGTGGTAAAATTGTGGGTAGCAGCAGCATGAAGAACAGAACCATTTTAATTTCTCCCATCTGGCATATTAGCATTAATAAAAGATGTTTAAAAAGAGAAGGCTTGAAAGGCTTTCACCTCTTGATTTACCAAGATAATAAGGAAAGCTTGCAATCTGCCACTAAATATAACTGATAAGAATGAGTATAATGTGATGATCACCAAGATTAACCTTTGAGACAATTTGTAAAACCCTGCTGATTACATTACAATCATGTTAAGACTAGCACTAAAACTGTTGTTGCTACTTTTTAGTACAAATAAAATAGGAAAAATCCCATTTGTAGAAATATAGATTACATAGATTAATAGAACAAAAATTGGGAAGTTACCTACACCTGCCTTATCTGTAAACCAACCATAGTGGATCTCCCTCTCAATGGTGTTTGTGGATTTAATATTTCAACTGAATGATTATATTGCTGGTTTAGACTAAGTACAGCATAACACTGATTATATGTTTCTATATTTATCTGTTTCACCTAGTTTTGTTGTTATCACATTACAGTCCCCTTCACTAACACCTCATTAATATTTTCCCATTTATCCTGGGTTTTTGATAGGACAGGGGAAGAATTTACTTACCCAGGCAGTTTCTCAATTAAAATGGGATTTGGGGAACCTATTCTTCTTAATTGGAAAATTACCTGAGTGGTTTGTCCAAGCTTTTCATAGCTTTTCTGGCTGACATTTTTGACCACAACTACAGTTCAAAAGAATACTATAGCTGAAAATTACATATAACAATAAAATGAAGAAATCACAAGGGAGTTTAACACAAATGATTTCTTTGTTCAACTTATTCTTGACCATGCATCAGGTAAGGTATTTCAGATGGTTATCTTATAGGGTAAACAGGCAGTCTGGGAATAAAAATTTGCTTACAAACATTATTGTTTCTACTAAAACCAATTTATAATAGGGTCAATGAGGTCATCTACTTATCCTGATATCAAAAAGTACCTAGAAATACAAAGACTGGCCTGCTTACATAAGACATACTTATATTATTCACTACCTTAAGTGAATGCACAGTTTTTGTCTTGGTTTGGCTTGTTTATTCAAGACAAAATTTGGTAGTATAAAGTTTAGAGCTTAGAACTGAATGAGAGATGTTCCTAAGGTATCCCTAATGCAAATTTGAACTATTTGCATTTATTTATTTATATAATGAATCAATAAGCACATAGAGAGTATATAAAAGCCTGTTAGTTTAGCTTTTGCACATATGGTATCCAATCCTGAAAGCCCCCTTTGTATTACAAAGACACAAATAAACTGGTAGCAATCACAATGAATGTATACATGCTACTTTATCATCACTACTATATATCTTGTTTAATTTCACAACTGAAAGCTTACTGTCCAATGGAAAAAGCAGTGCAGATTGGAAGACAATAGACAATAATGAGAATTCTGTGTGCAGAATGAGGCTGTATGTGGACCATAGAAGAAATGATAAACCCATGGTAACCATTAGAGATTTTTATTTTTATACAGACTCAATTAATCAAAATCATTTGGCTAGGATTTTTTTAAATAGAAGAATCAAACTCCAAAAATTCCTACTCAGTATTTAAGGCTATAAGAATTGTACTTCAACCACTGAAAAGTAGAAGAAAATAAACAATCTAAGTCTTCATTCATTCCTCACATAGGGGAAACAGGGAATTAGATCTTGCATAGTACCTAATAGACCCATAATTTTTCCTCTATTATGTTCAGTATTATTTCCAGTAATTGCAAAAGTAAGTACATTTCTTGTTTCTTCTAAAAGTCTAAAGGTCATTTAAAGTTGAGTTTCAAAGGCATAGAATGAATTATATGTACTGATAGGAATGCGTACTATATTTTAGATGAAAAGATTTATATGTATCCTAAAAATCTTTTTTCTTTCATTCAATTTTTGATTAATTAGACTGATAAATATGCTAAATAGTACATTATTACCACTTTCATTAAAAGAAAAATAATTTTATGTCTTTTAAAAACATGGAATTAAATTGGATAAGTAGTATTGATTAATTTTTTAAAGTTCAAAGATATGAACAAATACACCACTTTCTGTATTTCAAAGACTTTTAAAAAATAACAATGGAAAAATAATTTTTTTTTAAAATTACCCCAAGCTATGTATTTTGCAAAGTAAAAAATACTTGATTCAAAGTCTAACCAAAAGGAGTTAAAAAACAAAACAAAACAAAAGCCTCCAGTGGGCAATTATTTTCCAAGATCTGTCCTCAAGGCAAGTTTTTTCTGGAAAATTTGGAATTCTCCAGATGGTGAATTTTCCAAGAACTATAAGTAACTTTAAGACAGTGTCTATAATAGGGATAAATCATAAAGGTAAATTCTTTGTTTAATAAAACCACAGGACTCGTATGTTGATTACACTGCTTGAATGGCTTTGATTTTGTTGAGAAAAAGCTGGCCTGATGAGTTCAGTGTTTCCACTTCTATTTCTCCAGCCAAGGGATATGGATGAATCACTAACAATTCATCACCACTACTGGGAAAGTAATGCAAAGCATATTTCATATTAATTCCATATTGGTAGTATCACCTTTGTGTATGAAAGGTGATACAAATAATTCTCTTCATATTGAATACATTTCTAAGTGACAATTAACAAAACATTAACCCTATCAAAATAGAAAGCCAACATATTATCTCTAAATAAAAAGCATTAAGTAGCATTGAAAAAATTTATTTGCGTCAGATCTTGGTTTTTAAATTCCAAAATAGGGGAGAAACCAAATACCCTTGCAGTAAGGCTGATTCCAGAGCTGGGGTAAGGAAAATACAAGATAAGCCTGGATCATCTTGTAGTAATAGAACAGAAAACAAAGAATTGTAGGGTGTGCCAGAAGAACACAGGAGCCATCCTGACAGAGCCCCCATAGGCCAAAGCTGAAATAATTTGAGCATCAAATAAATAGTGAAATATTGGTTTATAGCCCAAAGTATAAAACATATACCTCTGTGCCCATACTGATGTAAATAAATGCTTTAATAATCAAATAAGTGAGAAGAAAAGACAAATTCTTAGCTAGGAATTCCATATAGTATATGTAGATTTTCCCCTTCAGGAGGTAGAGCCTAATTATCTTCCTACTGAGTATGGACTAGAATTAGTGACTTATTTCTAATGAATAGAGCATAGAATGAGAAAAATAGTAACTTCACAGTGAAGAAACCAAGCAAACACTACCTTAATAAACAGTGAAAATTAACATCATTGGTGAATCCATGGGGATGTCATGTATCTTTCATATGACGTAATAATAAGGCCACTTTGCCTTTGTAATATTCATTAGAAAATTCATAACTCTAGTCTAATAATGATAAAAACATTGGAGAAACCCAGATTTGGGGGCATTCTATTGGATACCTGGCCAGTACCCCTCAAGATTCTCAAGATAATGAAAAACATGATTGAGAAATTGACATAGATCAGAGGAAACTGGGGACACATGACAACTAGACACAATATATTATTCTCACTGGATCCTGAAACATTAATGAAAAACTTGATGACATGTAAGTAGTATGGAGTTTAGTTCACAGCAATATACTAATGTTGGTTCCTTAATTTTGAGAAATGTACTGTGGTAATGTAAGATATTAACAATAGGGAAAACTAGTTGAAGGGTATACTGGAACTCTATTATCTTTCCAACTTTTCTATAATTCCAAAATTATTCTAAAATTTAAAATTAATTTAAAAGCAATTGGCATAAACAGTGATCCCAGAAAGAAACTCTTGCATACATGGTCAAACGATTTTTTTTTTCAAAAGGTGCCAAGATCATTCATTCAATGGGAAAAGGACAGTTGGTTCAATACTGATGTTGGTAAAACTGGATATCTGCAAGCGAATGAATGAAGTTGGGCCCTGACTTTATGCCATATATAAAAATTAACCCAAATAGATGAAATACTAAACATAAGAGTTAAAACTATAAAGCTTCTTAATACTGGATTGGGCAATGCTTTCTTAATATTACTCAAAAAGCATAGGCAACAAGAAAAAAATAGATAAATTGAACTTAACCAAAATTTTTTAAAATTTGTGCATCAAAAGATGCAACCAACAGAAATAAAAGGCAACCCATGGAATGATAGAAAATATTTACCAATCATACATCTTATAAGGAATGGATATCCAAAATGTAAAATAACTCCTAAACTTAGTAACAACAAAAACAAATAATCCAGTCTAAAAATGGGCAAAGGACTTGAATAGACATTTTTCCAAAGAAAATATGCAAATGGCCAATAAACACATGATTATTGCTAATTATTAGTGAAATGCAAATAAAAAATAGATAAGATACCACTGTACACCCATTAGGATTCCCAATATTAAAAAAAATAAAGTAACAAGTATTGGCAAGGATATGTAGAAACTGGAATTCTTGTACATTGCTAGTGGGAATATTAAATGGTGTAGCCACTATGGAAAACAGCGTGACAATTGCTAAAAAAAAAAATATTAAACACAGAATTACCATATGATTTAGCAATTCCCTTTTGGGAATATATCCCAAAGAAATTAAAGACTCAAACAGATATTTGTATACTCATGCTTAACAGTGATGTAATTCACAATGGACAAAAGGTGGAAGCAACTCAAGTGACTACTGATGGATGAATGGATAAACAAAATATGGTCTATACAATACACACAATGGAATATTACCCAGCCTTTAAAAAGAAGGACATACTGACACATGCTACAACATGGGTGAACCTTGACCACACTGTGCTAAGTACAATGAGCTATCACTAAAGGACAAATATTGTATGATTCCACTTACGTGGTGTATCTGGATAGCCAAATTCACAGCGACAGAAAATAGAATGGTAGTTGCCAAGGGTTACAGGAAAGGAAAGAATGGGGAGGTAACGTTTAATGAGTATAGAGTTTCTTCTGTTGGAGAAGATGAAAAAGTTCTGGAGGTAGATGATGGTGATTGTTGCAATAACAACTTGCATGTGCTTAATGCCAAAGGACTGTATACTTAAAGATTGCTAAAATGGTAAATTTTATGTTTTATACATATTTTACCACAATAAAATTTTAAAAACCAATTATCATAACAGGTTCATTTTTTTCTTTATCTTGTCAGATAGATAAATAGATAGATAGAGAGACATTAAAAATGTTTCCAGAGACAGGGATCAGTTCGCTGAATGTAACAAATGGAAATTAGAAACTGGATTATAAAACCAGTCATTATTAGAAAGTTAAAAATTACAAAACCAGGTAAAGATAAATTATTTAAACATGTGAGACATTTAGCAACAGATATATTAAACTTTGTTAGGTTATTCAATTTAGGAGAAGCCGATAGAGATTAATGAGGGCTAACACATTATCAACTATTTTTAAAAACAATAGGATGTCACACATTACTTTTCTTGATACCAGTCAAAATAACAAAAATGTAACAAAAATTAAAAATGGAGATAAAAAATAAAGTATTCTTTCATGTAAGTAAAAATAATCAGTTAAATGCTGTGTTGAGATTAATGTTTAAAATAGAGCATTAATGGAAATAATAAACTAGCTTGAAGAAAACATCTGGAAAAAACTAACAATTTTTTGACTTTTTCTTTCCTCCTGAGGATATTTTCTTGTTTTCTTAATGTGATTTCCCCCCTTTATACCCTCTCTCACTCAAATCCCATCTTGCTCATTGTTTCCCTAGTCAGTCAATTAATAAAAGCCAATAAATCAGTTAATAAGAGATTTTGTCTATCAGGTTTGACAATGGCATGTCTTTAGAACACGAAAATTGAAGGAAAGAGTTATTCATTCACTCATTGCTCATTTAACATATACATTTTAAGGGCCTAATTATTTAAAAGGTTGTTCTTGATACTGTACTCTAATCAAATATTTTGTTTCTTATCTTTTTTGTCACATGGTGTAAGCCTTTCCTTTGTTATTATTAGTCCTGCTTTTTTCCTCTTTTCCAAGTACGAGGCCATTTTTTCAAAGCTTACCAAAATTCCTTCAGATGTATCATTTCTTCATAACAACTATAAATCTTGCATGTCAGAGCCAGCACATAGTAAGTGTTCTGTAATTGTGTTCAATGAATGAAAATTGGTGAATCTTGATGCCCTCTCAACATCAGTTGTATGTAGAATGCTAGCTGTACTCTTCTGGGTTATAAAACCTTCAAATGTAACCAATTAACTACTCTCAAAACATTTATAAATGGTAAGTCTCAAAGTTCAATTGAAAATAAAGTCATATTTATATAAAAATCTGCTCTCACATGTTCTTCAAATGCATTAGATTGTAAGGAACTTCTTGTTAAACCCAAAAAGCAATTATAACACTTGAATACACTGTCTGTGTTTGATTACTAAGGTATCAATTAATGCTGAAAACATTCAACATTGTTTAAATTTCACAGAAGCCTAGCAAAGGGAAAATAAGAAGTATATATGTGGTTAATTCTCTAAGTTATAAATTTACAATTAAAATTTGGCCAAGCTTTAGATACTTAAGAGTTTAATTGACCATGTAATTCTGAAACACACTACAAAGATTCTATTACAGTAAACGCATGGTTATAGGTACATAGCTAAATCATAACAAATCTTGCACATCAAATTCTACTTTTATTTACATTTCCTTAAAAAAAAACAGGCTTACCCTTGAATCAGAGACATCATCTCTTAAAACATACCATATGTCTTTTCTTGTATAGCACATGTTAAAAAAACAGCCTTAATTAGTGTCAATGCATTGTTTGGTTTCTTCACTGACACTTCCTTTATTCTGTTGAGCAGTGTAGCAGTTACCCTTGCATCTTTGTGGAGGTTGGAGACCAAGTTAGTGGAGAGAAGGCTCTGGAGAGTCCAGAAAATGTGAGTGGCTGTCATAGGGCATTAACTAGAATCCATGCCATTTATTTACTATTCTGCTAAGGAAACAACATAAAAGAAAATCCTGTGGGGTTTTTTTGCTCATACTATCAAATATTTACAAGATATAAGTGCTCCTCTAGTTTTGGGAATAGAAGAGAACTTATTAAATATCAAGTGAAGGGAAATAAGGAAGAAAATAATTATTGACTTTAGTTTTCTGTTTATTATTTTGAACAAGCAAGCAAGAAATAATAATTCTTTTTTATGATAAAAGTGATAATGTAATATTCAGCAGATTTATCATCATATAATTACAGAACTCTAGAAAAGGTCTAAGGCTGAGTGTCCCATGTGGACTTGCAAAGCCTATCTTGTTCAAAGGAATTGAATTTCTGGTTCAAATTCATTCAGGAGATTTCAGTCTCATTGATTATTTTAAAAGCACTGTAAAATAGATTATTTTCTTTAATATCTGACTTGATATCCCTCATTCCTTTTCTTTTAATCTTCACATTTCTAGCCCATTACTTTTATTTAAAATAAAATTATTATTATTTTTTTTCTGTAGGAAATCTTATTCAACCCGACTCCTTGTATGGTATTTTCTCTTATTCAAAGCCTTACTCCAACTAAGCTTGAGCTTTGTTTCTCTTTTCCCTTCTTTTCTCTTCTTTGCCTTTATAGACAATCCTAGAGACTCACATAAACTCTTTGTCTAAAATCATCCACCAATGTTACCAACTATCTATTAACCCATCCTCAATAACTATGCTTATGAGAAAAAGAAAAAAAGAAAAATGTAAAGTAATTAAAACATATAATCCTATTTTTGTTGTTTTTTATTGGAATATAATCACACAGCAGGAATTTTTGGGTAGCATTTGTTCAAAAATAAACAGCAATCATCTGCTATTTGCATATGACTTTTTTAGGCACTTTTAGTAGAAATGAACATATATGACCACTGTCCTCAAGGATAATTGAGCTACAAATCAGTCAGTAACAGAAGAATGGACTAATAGAAGAATTAAAGTTCTTCTAAATTATAGTAAATTTAATGAACTATTAAATTTAATGAACTATTAAAAGTTAAGGTTTATGAAGAATAATTAACCACATTCATCCTTATGTTTTTACTACATTAAACTTCTAAACTCATCTTTACTTATTTGCATCCTCATCAGAGACTTCGAATCTTACCCCTTTGTCCTTTCACAACCTTCTTAAAAACCTTCAACCCCCTCTCCACTTCCACAAAGATCTATTTGTCATCTTTAAAAAATATACACACACACACAACCAGGCAGATTGGTGGTATTACACATTTATGCTTTCCAATTTGAGGTGTTTTAGCATCCTAATTCTACAATCATTTTACACATTGCTAATTGAATCCCTTTCCAGCCTCCAGAGTAGCGATTTGAAACTGCCACTGATCTCGCCCATATCCATGGCCCCACACCCTCTCCTCACATTGCCTACCTCCAGCCATACATAGGAATTAGAAGCTATTAAGGACAAACCTGTCTACACAGAATCTTTGGTCTCTTCACAGCCCCCTCCTACCTTCAAGCACATGTCAGTAAATTTATCTATACTGCCACTCTCTTTACTTCCTTCCTTTCCTCATATCTCAGATTGGCCCCTTAAAAATAAAAATATTGCACTGTCCCTCAGGATTGCTCTACATATTTTTATTTTTCCTAATCAGCTTTTATTTATATTCCTCAGAGCAGTTCTTCAAAACATTTACCTATACTGTCTACCCTATGCCCGCTATTATCTTCTTGGCCGCAATCAATAACTCAGACTACATTAAGAAAATAACAGCTATCTGAAATGAAGTTCAGAGTTTCCTTGATGTATTCCTGCATATATTCACTCACATATGAACTTACTTATTTTGGTGCCTATATTTTACTAAATGTTTTTGTCTCAGAAGGAAAAATGTGGTTTCTTTCTGTCAAGGCTAACCCCTCTCCTGCAATAATAATCACATTTCCTCCTAAAGGAATCCTCATCTTTTTCTTGTACGCTCAAACTCCCTCTAATTACTAGCTCCTTTCCTACAACCTCAAATAGTCTCAGATAACCCATCGTCCAACCCTAACTCACACAAAAATACCTCCAAAACCTTCATTTTGATCCTGAATCATTTCCAAATTACTACAGAATTTCTCTTCTTATTTTAATGACAAATTTCTGCCACAGCTTTTTGGATATCTTTATTTCCTCTATTTCCTTGATCCATTGTTCTTTGACTTTTGCATCCCAAATAGACACCTCTTGACATCTCTAAGATGAGCAGTAGTATCCTCATTGCGGAAACCTTATCAGCTGACTCTCTTCTTCCTCACAAATTCTCCTCCTCCCTTTACTTTCATTATATTACATTCTCCTGGTTCTCTTTCTAAGTCTCTGACTCTATTTTCCTTCTC
Source organism: Homo sapiens (assembly GCF_000001405.40). NCBI lineage: Eukaryota > Metazoa > Chordata > Mammalia > Primates > Hominidae > Homo > Homo sapiens. The sequence goes on along the minus strand of NC_000005.10, from coordinate 89,140,353 downwards.
TCTCCATGTTTTCCTACTCTTCATTTACCTGCCTATTAAATGTTGGAATTCCTCAGGATATGATCCTCTCCTCACTCTATACACACTCTCTGAGGAGTGAGATATTCTGACACAGGTGTTTTAAGATGTCCTTTTGACATAGCTTCTTTGACTGTGTGGTTTTGATGTCATGAGTATTTTTAATAATGCTCCAAAAACAGTTATTAAACGTTAACTTTTAAAAACAATTGCCAGTGAGGAATTCCTAGCCAGAGTAATCAGGCAAGAGAAAGAAATAAAGGGCATCCAAATTGGAAAAGAAGTCAAACTATTTCTGTTTGCCGATGATATGGTCATATTCCCAGAAAACCCTAAAGACTCCTCCAAAAGACTCCTAGATTTGACAAATGAATTCAGTAAAGTCTTGGGTTACAAAATCAATATACGCAAATCAGTAACACTGCTACATACCAACAATTACTAAGCTGAGAATAAAATCAAGAACTCAATTCCCTTTACAATAGCTGCAAAACGAGTTAATGGGTGCAGCACACCAACGTGGCACATGTATACATATGTAACAAACCTGCACGTTGTGCACATGTACCCTAAAATGTAAAGTATAATAATAATAAAATTAAAAAATAAATAAAAAAAAATAAAATACCTAGGAATATACTTAACCAAGGAGGTGAAACATCTCTACAAGAAGAACTACAGAACACTGATGAGAGAAATAATAGATGACACAAACAAGTGGAAATACATCTCATGGTCATGGACTGGAAGAATCAGTATCACCAAAATGACCATAGTGCCCAAAGCAATCTACAAATTCAATGCAATTACTATCAAAATGCCAACAGCATTTTTTACATAATAAAAAAATCCCAAGATTCATAAGGAACCAAAAAAGAGCCTGAATAGCTAAAGCAATCCTAAGCAAAAAGAACAAATCTGGAGGCATCACGTTTCCTGATTCTAAATTATATTACAAGGCTATAGTAACCAAAACAGCATAGTACTGATATAAAGTAGAAACATAGACCAATAAAACAGAATAGAGAACCCAGAAATAAATCCAAATACTTACAACCAACTGATCTTTGACAGGGCATACAAAAACATAAATTGGAGAAATAACACCATATTCAATAAATGGTGTTGGGAAAACCGGGTAGTCATACGTAGAGAATGAAACTAGATCCCTCTTCTTACCACATAGAAAAATCAACTCAAGATGGATTAAAGACCCAAAATCTAAGACCTAAAACCATAAACATTCTGGAAGATAAGTTGGAAATACCCTTCAGAACATTGGCCTAGGCAAATAATTTATGACTACAACCCCGAAAGCGTATGCAGCAAAAGTAAAAATAAATAAATGAGACCTAATTAAACTAAAATGCTTCTGCACAGAAAAAAAATCATCAGAGTAAACAGACAATCCACAGAATGGGAGAAAATATTTTCAAACTATGCATCTGACAAAGGACTAATATCCCAAATATACAAGGTATTCTAACATATAAGCAAGAAAGGAACAAATAATTCCATCAAAAAGTGACAAATTACATAAATAGACAATTCTCAAAAGAAGATATACAAGCAACCAACAAACGTGAAAAAATGTTCACATCACTAATCATCGGGGAAATGCAAACTTAAACCACAATAAGATACCACCTTGCCCCAGCCAGAATGGCGATTAATAAAAAGTAAAAAAAAAAATAGATATTGGCATGGATGTGGTGAAAAGGGAAAACTTATACACTGCTGCTGGGCATTTAAATTAGTACAACCTCTATGGAAAACAGTATGGCGATTTCTCAAAGAACTAAAAGTAGAACTACCATTCAACCCAGCAATCCCACTACTGGGTATCTACCCAAAGGAAAAGAAATTATATCAAAAAGACACTTGCACACATATGTTTATCACAGCACAATTCACAGTGGCAAAGATATGGAACCAACCTATGTGCGCATCAACTGATGAGTGGATAAAGGAAATGTGATATATATGAACCAGGGTCTACTACTGAGCCCTAAAAAAGAATAAAACTGGAGGCCAGCAGCAACTGTAGGCCAGATGCTGGAGGCCATTATTCTAAATGAAGTAACTCAGGAATGGAAAACCAAATACCATATCTTCTAACTTATAAGTGGGAGCTAATCTATGGGTAAACAGAGGCAAACAAAATGGTATAATGGACATTGGAGACTCTGAAGGGGGAAGGATGGGAGGAGGGTGAAAGATTTAAAAACTACATATTTGGTACAAAGACACTACTTTGGTGATGGGTACACTAAAATCTCAAACTTCAGCACTATGCAATTCATCCACGTAATGAAAAACACTTGTACCCCTAAAGCTATTGAAATAAAATAAATAAAAAATAAAAATTACCAGCTGTAATCCTCCTGCCCACAAAATGAATTCAATGAAATGGTTTCATTCAAGTGTCCCATGAATAAAAATGGAAACATTATATTATTTAAGTCAAAATGTCTTCTCCACACACTGGATAATCTAATCTTACTAATTGTGTTTCCTACATGGTGATAATTTGCAATCTATTACCCAGACTTCTTCTCCCTTTGATCTAAGGCTTAAATTTTTGACAGTTTACTGAACGTGTCAACATACATAGATCCCTACTGATTTCTTCAAATTAACAAATCTAAAACTGATCTCATTTTATTCTCTTCCCAAGGAGATCATCCTCCTTATAATCCTCTCTTGTTTAACAGTACCAAGATAAACCCAGCCATCCCATTCAGAACCCGAGAACCATCTCAGATTTCTCATTCTTCTTTTCTTACATTTGAAGTTCAGTAAATTCAGTAAGTTATGCCTTCCTTTAAAAAAAAACCTGTCAAAATTTTCCCAACTTTCTAACTTCAGTATATGGCTAGAATTCAAAGCTTTCATCATTTTTGGATGCAATAGGCTCCTAACTGGTCTCTTAATATAATTTGACCATCCTTCAGTCCGTGCTCCATCTTACTGCCAGGGGCATCTTTCCAAGAGCAAATCTGATTGTGTTACTTTTCTACTTAAAGCTGTGAACAGTTTCCTACTGCCTATAAGAATAGGTTCAGCTTGTCTTTTCAGAGTCATCATTTGCCACTCCCCCACACTCATCCTGAAATCTAACCACACCAAACTAAGCACAATTCTCTTAACAAGTACAAACTTAATGCCTCCTAATTTGGAGATGCCCTTATTTCCTCCTGCCCATATCTATCTAATGAATGCCTAATTTGTTCAGAATTCCTGTTGCACCCAAAATACACTTCCAAGAGTACATATATCATATACTATTGCAATCATCTCTAAAATGTTTTAGAATTGTTTAAAGAACAGTATCTTATTTGTCTTTGGGTATCAAGTGCATAGTAGAGTGCTGACATTTGGTACTCAGGAAATTTGGGTGAGTAAATAAGGGCAATCACTGTGCATATTTGAATGGCATAACATTTTCTGATTACATTTCTTAGAGAAAACAGCAAGTCCATGGGGGAGAGAGGTGAATGTTGTGTGTGACTACATTTGAATCGGGGCAAACCTTCTGATGGTGCTGAATTTTTGGCATGCAAGAAACAAGTTCTTTCAACCAGATTCTCATTTTATTGCTCCATTTAATTCGGATTAGTCTCACCTTTTTCTCTATTTCATCTGCACAGTCAATCACTGAGTATTCAACTTCCTTTTTAAGATTGTCTTTCAAAAAAGTCCATTGACTTCTCCTAAGAAATACAATAGTAAGTGAAAAAAATGTAGGCAAAGGAACATTCTGATTGTTTAAAAATGATCATGACAAAGGAGTTTTCTGTGTGGTCATATTCTTACCCGCCACAGATAGTTCACTAATTTGGGTTTTTAAAAAGTTATAAAAAATAAACCTTGCTTTACCAAGATTTTGTAAGCATTTAATTTTTCAGTGCTGCAAAATAGACTTGATCAACTGTTTTTCCCCCATAAGGTTCTACTTTAAGACCTCCATATGCTCAGTTTTAATAATCTGCTTCCAAAACCAGGAACCATTCCAAATATGAGTTATGGAAATATTGTGCTTCTTATTAAAAACAACATGAAAAGAAATATCTGAAGCCCAGGTATCAATCTTTAAAACACATAATGGCAGATTTATGTGAAAGGTTTTGTATGAAGAATTACTGCTTAAAATCACTTTTACTGAGGCAGTTTAACTCGTTTCACTAGAAGTGAAAATTGCTATGACAAATATGTCACTATGGAGGTCAAATGGTAATTTGCACATGCTAAACAGCTCAGCAGGAAATTACATGTGATCCTCGAAATCACTAGCATTCCCACCAGAAATCATTTCAGAAGACATGGAGGTCACATGGATTGTGTTAGGGATAAAACTCTTTCAAACACATGTTCTACCCTCCCCCTTGGGAGGAAGAATTAAAAGGTATGCAAAAAGGTATGATCAAAGTGTTCAAAGTTAGAGAAATGTAATTTACTGTAGTTAGAGAAAGGGAACTGAAGAAAAGTCTCATCTGAGACCAGTTTAAAAAAAAAAACTGCTTAACTTAGTCGAATCTTTTAATACTATTTTATCACTTGATGTTAATAAAATACAATTACGTTTACATATTTTCTTATCAAGAAAATATGATATGAAAAAAGAGAAAATATTCCTGAGATAATTAAAATGTCACCCTGAAAGGACTTGCTGTGCTATCTTAGCAGATTTGCTTCACCTGCATGTATGCTTGCTACAAAAAACATAAGATTTGATTTAGTGGTCTCATACCATAGTGATGTGAATGGGTGCACAATGGAAAGAAAGAGGATGACATTCAGCAGTCTCTTTTCTTCTTATTTTTATATGTTGAAGAATCCTATATCCTGTTGGTGATTGCAGGTAAACAGAAGATTGTGAATACTACAATAAAACACTATGATTAAAACTGTATTCATGTGGTTCCTTCCTTCCAATGATAAGACCTGTGAAGAATGCCTCAGAGAAAACAGCCCAGGAGAGAAGCAATGCTTTTTCTTTTCTCAAAGACCCTATTTGTAACTATCTCATGGCAAAAAGCTTTCACTTCTTAGGTCTTCCCAGTTTTTCTCTCATTATTGTATAAAGTTTCCCACATATGGAAATATATTCATTCACTGATTTATTATTAACTGAGTACCTATTTTGTCCCAGAGACTATGCTGTGTTGGAGAACAACTGTGGCAAAGGTACACAGTCCCTTTTCTCAAGAAGCCTTTGGTTTCATGGGGAGTACAAATGAGCATGGTAAGTACTAAGAGAGGGGAACTTTAAATTGCTATGTGAGCACGTAACATAATCACCTCACCCAAGATGAGTGATCAGGAAGACTTTCTGGAGGAAGAGACACCTAAGCTAAGACCTCAAGGGTGGAGCTGGAAGTTAATATTGCTTAAATGTTTGTCCTGTCCAAATCGTATGATGAAATGTAATCCCCAGTGTTGGAGGTGGGTCCTGCTTAGAGGTGTTTGAATCACGGGGATGGATCCCAAGAGGATCTTAGTGCCATCCCCTTGGTGATAAGTGAGTTCTTGCTCTGAGTTCTCATGAGATCTGATTGTTTAAGAGTGTATGGCACCTCCCTGCCCTCTCTCTTGCTCCCTCTCCCTTGTTCCCTCTCTCACTATGTGATGCACTGGCTCCCTCTTTGCCTTCTGTCATGAGAGTAAATTTCCTGAGGCTCTCACCAGAGGCAGATGCTAGAGCCATGCTTGTACAAGCTGCAGAACCATCATCCAATTAAACCTCTTTTCTTTATAAATTACCAAGCCTCAGGTATTCCTTTATAGCAATACAAGCATGAACTAACATAAAAAGTAAAGACAGGAAAATACCCAGGCCAAGAAAATACAGTATATAATGACCTAGAAGTGTTTTATGACCTAGCTCAATCAAGAAAAGTAAATACGTCTAATATATCTAAAGCATGGAACTCATGAAAAAATGCTGAGCAACAAGGCTGGATTGGGTTGAGATAGTGGAGGATTTTGTAAGCCATAGTCCACTACCTTGAGAGCAGTGGGAAGCCTCTGGAAGTATTCCAACAGAAATTAGAGATCAACTTTGCACTTAAAAATACTATCTTGACTGAATTGTGGATGAGTCTAGAGGCTGAGAGGCCATTAAAAGACTGTTTCAGTGATCCTAGTGAGGGATGATTGTGGTTTGATTGAGAATTCTGACAGTAAGTATGTCATATTCCCAAGTATGTCGTGCACAGAAGGAAACTGGCTATATAGGACTGAAGTTCAACAGAGGGATAGAGATTGAAGATGTGAGTTGAGTGTCACCTTAATATAGATGCTATAGAAACAGCAGTATTAAATGAGTGTATTAAGTGAGAAAAGTAAAGGACCAATGACTAAAACTGGAGGAAACCCAAATTTAGCTGGTACTTAAAAGAGTCTTCAAAAGAGGTAAAGAGAAGTCATAGAAAAGCAAGAAAAATATGAAGTTTCAAAAGCCAGAAAAGAGAATGTTTCAAAGGAATTTATGGTCCATAATGTCCAATGTTCCAGAAAAACCAAGTAAAATGTAGATTAAGAACTGTTCATTATGTTTAATAACAAAGACATAGATCTGTGAACGTGGTGTGAACAAATTCAGCAGAGTCCTAGAAACAGAGCCAGGTTATTGAGGTTCAAGTACAAGTAGAGGTGAAATATAAAGGCAATGGTGTATACAACTCATTAAATAACATTAACTGTGAATCAGAAAAGAGATATACGTTAAGGTGGAGGGGCTCTGAGGGGGAGAGAAGGTTTGTATATAGTTTTTTTTTTAAAACATGAGAAACATTTGAACTACGAATACTAACCAATAAGGAGAGACTGAAGTAAAAAGAGGGAGACGAAATCCTTAACAAGAAAAAGAATGCTCCAGACACAGACAGAGGGATTAATAATAGGCAGAAGGAAGTACTATCACAGTTGAAAGGTAGCATAAAGTTGACAGAGTTTCTTTATGATGGATTACATTTTCACTTTGAAGTCAGAGACAAGATTATCTGTTGAGAACAGGGGAGAAGGGAAGATCAGAGTTTCAAGGAACATACAGATGTGTTGGAAGTGTCACCCCAGAAAGCAATAAAGGGAACCAACTCATGATTCCTAGAAGTGTTGCTTGGCCCTGTTGAGGGACAAGTTGATTAGGGAAACCCTGAATCTAAAGTAGTGCCTGTCTTTGAGTTTGTTTGATTTTCAAAAGTTGTGGAACTGTACTGATCTAAGATTAATCTAGTTTGAGTTACACAGCATTGAGGCTTTTCAGAAAAGGTACAATTGAAAAGCAAGAAGGCAACACAGTTTAGGGATATTGAGAGAGCACCTAATTTGGTTTGGGAAGGGTGTGAAGATGAAAGCAGATTTTCTGGGGTAAGTGGAAGAGACAAAGGATCAGAAGTTCCCACATATTCCAGAAACTGTACGGCAGAAAAAAGTAAATTGGAGAATGGAGGTATATAAAACACATGGAGTGAGATGGATGAAGTCAATACTTCAAAAGAAGTTTGGGCTTATAAGAAGACCCAACATGCAACGATGGGATAGGATAGCTGAAGTGGCTTAAATACAAAGGTCACATCATTGACATCAAAAATAAGAAATTGAAAGCCTAAGTCGTTGGCTAGACAGGTCATCCAAGTGGATATTGAAGCACCCAAGAAGGATGGCAGGATTTGGGATTGAGAGATCAGATGATAAAATCTTCACTGAAGGCAGGGAATAAATTCTGAAAGTTGTCTTTAGTAATTCCACAGCCATACAAAAAAAGTATCATTTTAACCCGAAATTCTACCTCTTCCAGAATGTTATGATAGACATGGCTCAATCCATTTCACCCTGAGAAAATAATTTAACTCAATAACATTTGCTATTTCACATATGTTGATGTTATCAGTAACTTTTTAAACTCTGGATTAAAATGCAATTGTAAATTCTTCTAGATTATGAATTCACTGAGTCATATATAGCTAGTCTGAATACCTGCGGGAATCTAATATAATAGTAAAACCTAAAATAATAAATACAACATGTTATCTAGAGGCACTTGCTCTCGGCTTGATGATGTTATGTTAATGATGAAAAATGCTATCTTTGAGAAGCTCAAGTTTAACACAAATTATAAAAGTTTAATGACAAATTATGTCATTCACAATCCCAACCTTTTCTCTTCATTAAATATGGCTCTCTACACACTACTAAGTCCCGACAGACAATTTGTCAAGGAATGATGAGTAACAGAGAAGTAAATCTTACACCTACTGAAATTTGCCCCCTTAAACACCCCATTGTTGGTAAGAATATTTAAATAATGCAGTTAAACCACTCTTTTCATCTTCCACAGAAAATGACATACATGACTTAGCCTCTTCTGAATGTCTTAAAATATCATCTGTACATCAATTATTGATGTCTTTATAAGCCCTTCTACTCATGAAGCGGTGTTTCCCAAACATTGCTAAGGACGGCCTGTATTACTTGTTATAGTACAGATTTCTGGGTCCTAAGCAGACACACTGAATCAAATCCTCCAAGAGAAGAACTAGAAAAGTCTTTAACAAGCGCCCCCCCGACCACCACCACCCCACCCGCCCCAGGTGATTCTTATTACCAGGGAAGCTTGAGAAACAACAGCTGTAGGATGTTTAGGCTTTGATCCCACATTAAACAGATCCAAGCTATAATCTTTTGGAGTTTTTTCAGAACTTTTCTGCCATTTTTCTTGTTGCCAACTACCACTTCTTTTCATGATTTTGTTATCAATGTTCCTGTCTCAGAAACATTTTCTCTTCTAAGCACAATGTATAAATTATTGCAATGTAGAAACTGAGATAGCAAAGTTTGTTAGAACTGTAAGTGAAATAAGAATGTGTAGGCTCCGGTTGACAATCAGGAACCACACTCATAAGTAAAACTATAAGCATCTTTAATTTAAAGATGTTGTGGTTATCTTTCCAGATTTTATTCACTTCTAAATTTTTTAGTAATTTTCCAGATAATTGATTCTAATATAAACAGACATTTAAAGTTGGACAATGCACCCAAGTGTGGTTTGATTTCAGTATTTTACCAAATGTCCTAATTCCCACTCAGATATGTGGTATTGCATAGATACTGCCTAAATTTCACTTTTTAAGTTATAGCGGAAATAAACTGTATTTGATGCTGTATCTAATTTATTTGACAGAAAGGAAAAGATTAAACAGTTTATTTATATGCACAAATTTCCCAAAGAGAAAACCATTAAATATAGTTTCCTAATCTAATTGCTGGATTTCACAATTAGGCCAATGCTTTTCTATTTAACCATCAGTCTTTAGTACTTAATCTGTGTAAACTGGTGAAAACAGGAGAAGAAAACACTAACTTACAGGGCTAGAAGATGGATCTGTTTCATTGACTGTAAAAACAAGATTGCAGGTTCTTTGGAGAGGCAACCAAACATTCAGCAGTTGGTAAATAAGTGAACATTTCCCTTACAATGTAAGACTATATGAATTCATAATGACCTTAGAGAAAAGTGAAGCTGATTGCTTTAAATCCTCGTATTGCCTTGTCTGAAAGGTTTGCACCCCCGGTTTTCATGAAGGGTTTATGTTCTCTTGCAGACTAGTTTAACGATCCCTTTCAGCCCATTTGCTTGAAAAGAGAGGCTGAGGAGTCTTCTTGAACTATAAATAAAGTCTCAAAGAAGCTGGCTTTCTCAAAATGCTGAGGCTCTCCCTCGTCCAAGTTGTTTGTGTTAGCTTAATAGGGCCACTGCAACCTGTCCCCCTCTTCCTTGCTGTGCTATTGAAACACAGTAAGAAGACCCTTTGAGCCAACCATCTGCTCTTCAATTAAACTAGCAAGCATTTTCTTTTCAATAATTTATTGTGGGCGTCTTTTTGTTTCCAAGTAACTGTTGGTAAAAATTCATGAATTAACTGGGGAAAATAAACTAAAGAAAGACAAAAAATTACTTGCAAAATGGAAAACTTAGGAAAGCAAGGTATGACAAGACCACATGATATTTTTTGCCATGATAGTTGGTCCCATATTTTCCTAAACCATGTTACTTACCCACTTTCCAATGAGAGCCTAAGAACAATTACAATTGCTGTGGCTATAAGTAAGCATGATGCAAGATTTACTAATAAATTGGACTGCTTTATAATTACCCGTGAAATAACAACACTTGACCCTGATTTATTTTGTGGGCTGCCTTTTTCTCTCCAAACATTTTGAAGTTAATTTTTTTTCTTAAAACCAGATGTTTCAACATTTCAAAGAAGATGGATGGAATGCAAACTCAAGACCAAAACTGTTTTAGGTTTGCATTTGTTATTATTGTTATTAAAGAAAGGGCCAGGGCTCTATGCAAACTAGAAATGAGCCAAAAATTCTAATTTAGATGACAGTGGCCATCTTGAAATTTTCTAAACATACAAACAGCTTTCTTTCCATTTTCTGTAAACACAGAAGCAAGGAAATATGAAAACTAGATCAGACAATAAAAAGAACTGCTTACTTCTAAACTTCAATGTGATGTAATGATGGCCCATTTTACTTCACTTTATGGTATGGGAAGGGTTCCATTGTTTGGAATATCTAATTAAAGATGTTAAGGTTTAGCTAGTAATAAAATCTATAACCTGCATTTGTTTTTGCAAATATTTTGACAGGCAATTTTGTCTCTGTGTCTGTGACTGGCTCCTTTGACAACAAAGGAATTTACAATAACCTGGGCATTGGGAGCTGAGAAGTTTCCAAGAGGCTTCTCCACAGTGAGAAAAGCAAAGGGCTCCTGTTCCGTCCCTTGATTGTATCCAGCTGGTTTCAGAAAAGCAGTCACTCAGTCCACTCTAGGGCCAAGAGCTCCTAGGTAGTGGTTCCAAATGGATAAGGACAGGGAGAAAGAGGTAAGAGATAAGATAGAAATGCATGGGCTATGCTGATAACAGCAGTGACAATAATAAGGAAGGCTGACAGAGTGACATGTGGAAATGTGAGTTCATTCTAAGCCAGAACCAACTAAGCCCTTTCCTAAATGATTACTTAGGTAATCGCTTTTTGCTTGATTAGATCATTGCATTAGGCCTTTGGCTCACTTTATTTATTTATTTTAAATTGATGGCCTTTGCTAACTAACCAAGGTAAGTACTTAGAAGAAGTGGATTGACAGGACTTTTCTGATAGCATTTGTACAGCATCAGGTTATAGTCACTGGTTTCTAGCTAGCAGACAGCCCCTTGAGGCAGCAAGGATTTAGCACAGTATCAGTGCCTGGAGAAATAAAGGCAAGGCTCATAAAATGATGCAGTGCTTTCCTGTTGTTGCTATAGAATCACTGTTTGCCAGATTACCTTGAGGGAAAGTGGCCTTCAGAGGGGGTTGTTTATGATTACTTTATACAAAATGGAATGTTGAAGTAGAATAGAAAAAGATTTGATTTTTGTATGCCACCTTTCATAGACAAAGCATGTCATAGGACATTAAAAATCAGCAATATATTGTTCCCATATGACCTGGGTAGACAAATACAATGGCTAGTACATATTCAGCAATAAGATGATGTAGTCTGCGTTGTAAGGAACGGAAATGTTGGCCAGAAAATGAAGTTTGTTCTGTTAAATTTACTGGGGTCTGGAATAGAGAATGATAGAGTAGGAGTCCTTTTTTTAGTGATTTAGTAAATATTTGGGTGCTTATTCTGTACCAGGCACACTGTTGGTATATTACCATGGTGAACTAAACAGATGAGTTCTCAGCCTCATGAACTCACAGTGCCTTAGAAAAGACCTATAACAACTAAATATGATAACTGTGGCAAGTGCTACAAAAGAGACACCTGGTGATATGCAGAGGGTATTGTGGGGGACTGACTCAGGTAGGAAGATAAGTGAGGGTTTAATAGAGGAAGGAGGAGGCTGAGTAGTAGAGAAGAAGGCACACAAAGCCTTCCAAGTAGAGGAAACAACCTGTGCAACAGTCTTACATTGGAAGGCAGCTCAGGCAGATAGGAGGAGCTGAAAGGAAGCCTGTGTGGGTGGGGGTAAGGAGTACGCAGAGTGCCCTCAGAGATGAGTCGGAGGAGCTGAGAAGAGACCAGATCTTCCTGGGCCTTGTAAGCTCTGTTGAGGACAAACCCCAAGAGCAACAGGAAGCCACTGACATGTTTTCACTGTAATCAGAAAATCCCAGGAAATATGATTCAATGTTGCTGCCCCTGTCTGCAATTCAAAAAACCCCATTTTCTTCTTTTGGAATCATGGCATTACACATATTTTCAAATACTCTTTGCTCTTATTTAAGATCGCCGTTAAATAAATTCAGAGACCTGCAGCCTCTTGGATCTGTAACAGAGCTGATTTCTTCTTTTTTTCAACACATTAAGAAAATGTCTAAACAAGATTATTTTAACACCAAATTTTTCAAGATTTTTCATAACAATAATCAAGGAAATCAAAAGCATTATTTTGAGGGGCTTCCTGTATGATTGTTATACAATTTCTCTAAAGCCATTTCTAAACTGTGGAGAGAGGAGAATGCTTTCCTCTCTTACGCTGATGGTAAAAGCAAATATTTACAACACAGCCTGTCCAGGAAAGAAATAGAATCCACATATAATCTGTTTTCTTACAGTATCTGCTGCTCAATTTTATAAGCAGTTGCCAGCCAAATATAATTCGAACCCAAACCCAAAATTTTGTGCCTTTTTGTTAAAGGGAACAGAATATTTTGCTTAAATATGTCAAAGAAATTGTTGAGAGTCATTAAGGGCTTTTGGTTGGCTGATTTGCTTTTTTGGCAATTTGGAATCTCATTGTGAAACGGCCTACAGAACTATGTAGCAAAAGAAGAATTATATTGTTATAAAAGCTCAGTACAAGCCTAAATTGAAGACATTAGAGTATGCATTTCCAATCATGAGTAGGTGGCACAAACATGAATCCTACTGAGAAATAATGAGATGTGTGTACATATGAACCTCCTGCGTATCTTTTTGAAAACACATCCCCAAGAGAAAATGACATAAAACAACTTGCAATTAAACTTTATTTGATGCCAGATGAGAAACAAATGTTTTAAAAACTGTAATTTTTAATATAATAATTATTTGCCTTGCATGTGCAGACCAGCAGCTTCTTATACCACGCCAGTGCCTTAGCCAACATTTATTTCTCAAGTAACTTAATAGAGGCTGAGATTTTAATTGCATTTTTTCCCCTGATTTGTATATGTACTCTGTAAGATTTTTAGAGAAATGAATTATTTCAGCTTGACTTTAGAAGTCACATATAGACCATTATGAAATTAAATGCTTGCTTTATAGATGTTTCATAAGAAAAAAATAGCATATTTATCAATCTACTGTATGTAAATAGCTCATAATTTTTTTCCAACACTAAAGAGTAGTTTCTTTTGGATTTCCAAACAGTGTAACTGTTTTTCCCAAGTGCTTCAAGTACCAGAACCCCATTTTAATGGCAAAAATTTTGAAGGCTCTCTGCCCACAAGATAATAGACACACACCTTCATAGTACATAATTCATTGACTGGAAAAGAGCATGATGATAAGAAAACTCTAATCCAGTAAAAAGTTTAGCAGAATGTATGGTTTGTAACCACAAGTGCTTATGCAAACATTTGAAAATCAGCACTTCAACTGCATTTACAATATACTAGTTGTTTGTTCTAAAGGGAAATGTTTGTTACACATGTGGCTATATGAGCCATTAACAGTCCTTCTAAGGGTCCAAGGCCAGTGGACTGAGCCCTTTGGAGTATAAGACAAAAGAGTTTACAGGATACCTACAAGCATGTGTGTTAGTAATAAATTATTTTTATACATGTATATGTACATAATAATGTTTATATCACTTTATAATTTAAAAATTGTGTTATACTCATGGTATCACTTTATTTTCACAACAAACCTGGGAGATAGTTATTGCTACTATCTCAATAGATAGAAGAGTCTGGCTCAAGTAGGTAATATGACTTGCCCAAGAAGGGGGCTGAGAAAATAATTATTAAACTGAAAACTGGTCAATTTATTTTTAATGATTGACTTACACTGACTTATGATAAGTTTCAGGATATTTCAGGATATGACCACAATGTGACAAAATCTAACACACTTGTTTTTTAAAAAACTTTTCCTGCATATAGAGTTACATATTGTTTTAGGGAATTTTCAATCAAATATTCTAAAATTAATGTAGCCATCCTAACAAAAAGGTTTTAATGCACCTCAACAAGTGTTTTTTTTTCAGTCTCTTCCATTCAAAGCCAGTAATGATCAAAGCATAGTAATGATCCTTAGAGCCACCCTCAGAAAGGGGAAACTATAACCATTAAATTTAGATATAATTAGAACCAAGGCATGATTTTACACAAAACTGACTTTTTACTTAGTTTATAATAGCAAAGGAAAAAATTACTATAAGAGATGACATTATCCACCAATTTCTATCCCATGACTATCTTCTATAAGATATCCTAAAGACTTAAGAACAGGAGATGCAATGTCAGAGATATGTGTATAAACATGAATCATCTGCCTCAGTTCTTGAAAAGGACTAGGCAATTGTTGATTTTACCCTTAAATGTGTGCTGCCACATGCAAATGTGATGAAATTCAATTTTCTTAGTTTTTTTTAAATTTTCTTCTGTTTATTTGACAAACATTTATTTAGCATCTACTGAGGGAAGCAAAATTCATTATGACATACAGGCTTTATCATGGAAATGATAAAATATGGTGTGCAGACCAAATCAACTCCATCTTGGTTGCCAGTCCACTATGCTAACTTCTGATTAACCCCAGTTCCAAGAAGGAACTGGAATCTTTAAGATTTCCAGTTTATCTATTGTTCTTTGCGTAAGAGCATGTACTTACCATAAATCTTGCCCTTGGGTCAAAACAACCTTGACCATCAATGCTACGTTCACATAGCATTCTTGCCTTTCCTTGGGAGGTCAACTTCATTGTCCTACATGTTACTTCCCTATGGTATATAAGCCATGGGTCTGGGGGGTAATGGCACAGGGATCCACCATCTTGTCTTGCCACTGCCCAAGACACACACATGGCTTCTGTTCCTAAGTCCTTATTAAATGTTTCTTTCTAAGCAGCTGGATTTGTCAGCCTTTTTCTTCAGCCTCTCAGCTTCCTCAGACTTTGGGAGTATGTTTGCATAGATCTGCCCATCATAGAACATATGCACACTGCCACTTAGTCAGAACTTTATTGAAAAGAAGACAGCTATGCTAGACCATGAGGGACAGATTTGGGGAAGAAACAAATTTCTCATACAGAATGTGATGAGAAAGGAACAGAGCATGCTTAGGCAATGCAAGTAGTCCACTTTGGCTGAGCTGCAGGTTATAGGAAAGGTAATCATGGTCACTGAGTCTGGAGAGGTACACATAGTCCAGACCTTGAAGAGTCTTGAGTATCAGGCTATCGTCATTTGACTTTATTCAGGAAGTAAGAGGAACAATTAAATATTTCTCTCAACAAGTTCAGCAATATATTAATATGGACATTATATAGGATGAATAAGGAAAGTGAAATTGAACAGGTGAATTCCAATTGGGAAACCAAAAACAGACATGACAAAATCCAGGGAGACTGTGAGAGCAGAAATGGCAAAAAAGGGACAGGTGCTGAAGACACTGGGAAAGAACTGACAGGTCACAGAAGCACATGATGAAACTAATTGAATGGAGGTGAACAAGCAGAGCTGGGGAGAAGAAAGAGGCAAAGCGACTTGAAGGATGAGTAACCCAGAGAATAGGGCCACCATAAAGAAGCTCAGAAAAGTCAGCACATGGAGGTTTGGAGAAAAGAGAAAACATGAAGAATAATTTTGAGAAATATTTAGCTAGAGACCCAAGTCTCCAGACCTGTCATCAAGATGAAAATGCTCAAAAGGAAATGGAAATTCAGGTCAAGAAACTAAGAGAAAGATCAGGCCGGCATATAGGTTTAGGAGCCTTTAGAAGGAAGTCAGACGGCTAAGGGTAAAAAAAATGAAATATGAATGTCATTATACCTGGGAATGTTCTCCAAAGTGAAATGTAGGTTTCAGAAGGAAGTCAGTATTTAATATTTAAATTTGTGTAAACTGTTACTACATAATAAAATGCTCTTAAAGTCAATTTTCCTGGACTATTTCCATCTTCATAAGTTCTGGTTTATTGGTAGATAGATAAATAGATCTGATCTATATCTCATATTTATTATTTATATATATATAAAATAAATAACCAATATTGTGATATATAAACTCCATTAAAATAATCCAGAGGGTTAATAAATGTAAACTTTTTTTGAAGTCATATTATGCATGGAAAATCTTGTAGCAAAAGAGATGATAAGGTGGAAACAGTTTCTGCAACACATCACTTGACAGGAAGTTATCAGAATGAAGTCTTATAGGTAACAATCTTATAACCATACATGGTGTTCGTGCTAGTTACCATACAGATAGGAAATGAAAGGTCCATTACAGTTTCTTATCAGCTGTATATTGGTGTAATTTAGAGAGTTTGATAGCATGAACCTGAACTGCAAAAGCCTTCAGACAATGCCCTGTTATCTGTCATCTAACCTTTGAGTTTGAACAGCCACGTGTGTAGACTTTCTCTTGTCTCTAAAGGACACTGTCTTCCCAAAACATTTAGCTGAAGCTATTAATTTCATTCCCTTCTAATATTTTTTCTTAACCATGATACCTAAAAAACATACCAGGCTTCTAAGATTAAAACAATACAGTGTAATATCATTGGTCTACAATTAAACACAGTCTGTGTATGACTTGTTTCAATATACAGCATTGATATGATACAGAGTCCCTATGGTAATCTCTCAGATTTTCAAACTGATCACGTTTATCTTTTAGCCCTTTTATAGGGATTTTCACAAATGGTTGAGTTTTCATGTGCTTAGTTTCCAACATTGAGATGTCTTAGACAATGACAAAATATTGCATGATTCTCCAGCTCCTTGCCTACTAGGGCTGAAGAGGAACCATCTGGATGCTCACGAGGTAGCCAGAAATCAGGGAGAGCTTCCCTGTGAAAGAATGTGGCAAGGGCAGAAAACTCCCAACCACATCAGTAGAGCGGGGAGAGCCAGAAGCATGGAAAGGAAAGGTAAAAACAAAACAAACAAAAAAACTAGGACGGTAGTTAAAAAGATTTTTTAAGCAATGATATCAGATATCAGGTGGGGAAAGTGCATGCACCTAGACTGTGGTTTATATCAGTACTGTTCTTATGAACCAGCAGGACTCTGTGGCCTCAGTGGACTTCCCAGGATTAAAGATCCAGGTACGGAATGACTCAAACAGAAAACCTAATTCCACTTCTCCACCAATGATGGTTCTCAGCTTGAACTCAGATTACTAATTCCATTTACACATTCTAATCTTGGAATATCCATTGAGTCAACCTGTATCCTGCTTCTAAATTTATTATTGGTTTATATAAATATTAAATTATTTCATCCAGGTCATACTACTGTAGCAGAAATCCAAGGGCAGTTATTGTTGCTGTAGAGAAATTAAATTCTTACCCAGTTTAAGCTGGGATTTAACCCACACTGGATTTCCTATTATGAAACTGTTATTCTTTCACCTCAGTAAGGAGCAATAAAATCATCCTTATCATTATCTCCACTACTCCCTCTCCTGCTAGCACCACACAACCCCAATGTTACGTGGACCTCTCCTAGTGTGGCATTGTGGTTTGAGAAACAGGAGCAGAGACCCTCTACAAGCCGACCTTATGGCCCTAAAGGTTGTGCTCAGTGCAAAATCCCCTTTCATGGCTGCTGCTTCTGTCTCTAGGATGGTTTTCAGCAGCAATTCTTGATAAAGGCAACAATGACAGGTGGGCGTTCAGGAAACAGTAGCAACTTCTAGTACCTTTTCCCAAAGAATTTATATAATTTTTGTGTTAAATCGTAGCCTTGAACCTTTCTTTAATTGACTGGATAATGGAGAGTGTTACATTGCTCTCTGCAATTACAAGCAACGATTCCCAAACTCTGTTCTTCAAGGTCACACGCATACACACACACACATACACAGAGAGAGAGAGAGAGACAGAGAGGCACATACCTAGAAGTATTTTTGTCTCCGCATTTATTTTATATATTAATTTATGAAAATTTTGAATAAATGTGCAAACAACTACAATTGTCATACAATTCTCTGCTTTTAAGAAATGTACACCACTTTGGGAGGCGGAGGCGGGCGGATCACGAGGTCAGGAGAACGAAATCATCCTGGCTAACACGGTGAAACCCCGTCTCTACTAAAAATACAAAAAATTAGCCGGGCGTGGTGGCGGGCGCCTGTAGTCCCAGCTACTCAGAAAGCTGAGGCAGGAGAATGGCGTGAACCTGGGAGGCGGAGCTTGCAGTGAGCAGAGATCGCGTCACTGCACTCCAGCCTGGGCGACAGAGTAAGACTCCGTCTCAAAAAAAAAAAAAAAGAAAGAAAGAAAGAAAGAAATGCACACCAGCACACCCAGAAGTCACAAGAGCGACTTTATGACTTTTAATCTACACCTTGATGCAGTATTTACCACTTAACCCTCAGGTTGACATGTATTGTCTATTTGAAGATGATTGGTTTTTAGTAGCATTTTACAACTGTAAAATACTGTATAGTTTTAATGTTTGTCACATATGAAAAATGTATACCTCATGATCCCATTTACCATGAACTACAATTGAAAAAGGAGGGAATTAAACAAAAGAAGAGTCATATCGTTTTCAAATTGTGTCTAAATAAAACACGTCAACAAGTAAAATTTGGAATATTTCAAAATTAAGTTGATGGATCTCATTTTTTCCTGTCTTTGAAGTAATTCTTAGAGCAGTCCATCTAAGATTACCCAAATGTTGCAAAATATACAATTCCTATTCTCTTTTTTCTACACAGTTCCTATGTAAAATAAGATTTCATATTATATAACAATATTAAGTGAATATGCTATAAAAATAATTTTTAATATACTGTCCTGATAAAAATGTTTTGATATTTTATTATACTTAAGCTTGAAATAATTAGGTTTCTTGTTATTAATGAAATAAAATAAATTATCTGGTTGGTGGTGCTATAAAGCTACAGCACACATATGAATAAGTTTTGCCCCTTTTTTGCAGCTTTTAAATCAGATATAAGACCGGTCATGTTTGAGGTCTTCTTTGATCAAAGTATGCAATATGTCCTGTCACTTCTGTTGGTATTCCATTAATGCATTGTAACTTAAACATGTTTCAGTAGTCAGGTAAGTTTGGGATACCCTGCCCTAAAGGGTTGCTCAGACTCGCTCCATTGAACCCGTCTCATGCTTTGCAGTGTAACATAGTTCTGCCAGCAAGCTGAACTTGCCCAATTCCCTTATTGCCACACTGAGGAAGCAAGCACTCTTTCCCCATTCCCTGAGTCAGCATTCAAGCTCTCAGTCTCTTCCTTAACAGTGGGTAAAGTGTCACACTCTATCTTGATATTCTCCCTGAGTGTGCCTGAGTGGAGTCTATTATGCTTCTTTCGTGCAGTCTCAAACCTAGTATTTAAGACTTGAGAAAAGCTTATCCATAGTTTACTTCATTTCTGCAAATAAAATCCTAGGGACACACTTAGAGTCCTAGAGTTCCCCAAAATATCTATGCAAATTAAACTGTAATGAAGATCTCGAAATACATTCATTCTATAGATGTTTCCTGGGATAATGATTCTTTGGACGTAATTTCTTAGAGTGTTTAAATTAAATATTTTCTGCGCGCAGAATAGTAAGCGCTCTTCCAGTTTTTCCAGCTTTCTTTTATCTTTTTCCTTTAATATTGTGACTTCAAGGTCATTGTAATGATGTAGTGTGTGAGTGTGTGTGTGTGTGTTTGTGTATGTATTCTTCCTAATTCCCCTCTACAAAGTTGATGTTACATTTTTAACTTACATTGAGACATCTTGGCTTCTTATTAAAATCTATGATCAGAAAACATTATTGTACTGCCAATAACATTTATTTTGGCTCCTTTTTCCTCCTTTCCCTTCCCTCTTCCTAGGCCTACAGATGTATTTCTTTATTATGATTACAGATTTAGATTCAGAACATAACCAAAAGAATTTTCTATCAATAGGCTTCACATGCACATTTTTCCTTTATCTAAAACGTCATTCTTTTTAGTCTCTATAGTGCACAAGGTGTTACCTAGAAAAGGATTTTACTCAAATTATCCAAAGCCTTGTTCATTTATCAAAACCACTGTCCACACTTCACAAAATGAATAGGAAATGGCTCCCATTCATTTTGAACTGATAACTTGGACTAAAAGTCATAGGCATCAATGCTAAAAGGCATGGAAAATTCCCACACTCCACCACCAAATCCTGACCTGGGAGATTTGTTCTAATGTTCACAGGCAGGCATAAACTGTAGAATACATTCTGCCCTGTTGACTCATAATTTTTAATGAAATAATGCAAGACTTACACAGCTCCTTTCTCCCAAAAGCATTTTAAGGATGCATACGGCATCTAAAATCCTTAACAAGAAAAGTGTATTTTCCCCTGATAAAAAAAAAGACAGTGCCACTATGTATTGGTAGTTATATATCACAGGGAGTGAGAGAAACTGAGAGGGAGAGAGAGAGAGAGAGACAGAGAGGAAGTTGATTTACAGATTGAAGAAAGTTGATAAATTATAGTGTTACAGTGTAAGTTGCCTGATATTTTTATTTTGACAACTGTCCTCCAAATATATATCAGAGTAAATTTCCCCAAGAATACATACTGCCACAGACTATCTGAAGATATAACCCTGGCTATATTTTTACAGAAAACAAGGGGGTATACACATCTGAATAGATTTGCTGTTTGTACATAAACACTGAGAAGTTAGTTACTATTACCCATCCAGTTCCCTTGCTAAAAACCTTAAGATCCTCTCATATCCCTACTCTCAATGCTACCCTATAAGTGCTAGTTAAATCTTTTCATTCATCACCATCATTTTACTCTTAACTTTTCATCTATTTCCAATTCCTCTTCATCTTCCCAGGTAAAGACTCTCATCATCTGTCATAACCTCCTAATTCCCTGTTACCAGCCTCCACTCATCTTCTAATTGCCGTAGGAATGATTTTCCCAGAACAAAATTCTGACCATGCACTCAAAGTTAAAATTCTCCAATGATTTCCACTTGCCTATAGTACCAATCTGAATCTCCTTAGAAATAAGGAACAATGCCCTTAGTGACCCAGCCTTTCAGACTCACATCTTCCTGGACTCCCCTCCCATCTTCCCCATTTCCCCCATTCCCTTCCTTCTCTGGAGATGTACAATGCACTTTTCTACCTTATATGTTGCCTAAAATACATCCACTTCCCTGAAAATTCCCACTCCATCCACTTCCCTGAAAATTCCCACACTCTTACTCCCTGTGAAATATAACTACCAATACATAGTGACACTCTTTTTTCAATCAGGGAAAATACATTTTTCTTGTTAAGGATTTTCGATGCCGTATGCATCCTGAAAACAGCTCTATTTGATAAATTACTACTTTGTTCATATTCCTACTATCATATTTATTGCATTGCACATGACTGTTTATTTCCTTTCAGGAGGAAGAGTTCTTTAAAGTCACATATCTGTCTAAATCACCTTTGGGTTGTATCACATATGAATTTCTTGGTATGTAGTAAATGTTCAATGAAAGTTTATTGAATAAATAAAAGATGAAATCTATGTTTGAGAACTACGATGTTTTTGTTCATAAGAAAGCTAGTCTTTGAAATTCACACCCTCTTTGCCTATCTCACACCAACTATCTCTCCACCTTTCCTGGAACATGGCACCTAGAAGCATGTTTTACCACGACCAAGCTTTAACTCCAACCATTGTTAGCTGGCTATTACCCTCAAGGTTTCAAAATAGTCCCCCATTTTCCTTTATTTTGCCCTGGGATTTCTTTCACTGTAAAGACATAAACTGCCTATTGATTAAGTGTTTTGTCATCTGACATTGGTATTTAAATTTTCCATCTAAACCAAGAAAAAATAGAATCTTTTTTTCCACAATGATATTGATGTATAGGATAAAAAGTGGACAGATTAGGCACTGATCTACAAAAAACCTCCATTGCAGAATCACCCAAGTTTAAGAAAAATGTTGGGACACTTAAAAAGAACTATTTAGCAAGCTTTTAATTGCAATAAAATGATTAACAAAACAATAACCATTAAAATACATCCATGAAGTAATTGGGTCTTGAGATAATTTTATTTTAATGACTTTCACAGTTGGAGAAGCAGCCAAAATGGCTTTGGCTTTGACTTTGGCAATTTTACTTATTTCAAGTATCAGGAGTCATATCAATTGATCGATAGCCTAATAGTTTTAGATATCTTGAATTGTTCTATGTATAATCCAATTAGCCTGTCTATAAAGGAATCATTTTCACTAACTGGCTAGAATACATAGAGAGATAATTATTACCATGCAATTCATTCAATTTGAGGTATTAAGTGCATTCTACAATTTTTTTTAACAGAAGTATCACACTGAATTCTGTTGTCTTAAAATAAGACTATCACCCTATTTTGCCAGATGATTTTGTTTTCAACTCAGGGAGACCTTCCTTCAAATGAGGAACATTATTGTCAGTCACCACGATCACTCTTTTACCTGAGTAAGGGATTTGTGAGACACTCTGTAATCCAGTATATTGGGAAGTCATCTGCAAATTCATTTCCTTTCTTATGAGATAATATCTACTCAATCTGGTTAAGGTCAGGGGTTCAATTCTTTCGATTCTCTTTTTGGTCACTTTAAACTATTCACACTGTGGTCTTTACTGTGTATTATAGTTTCACTAACACCAAGCCACTTTTCAATATTTAGAAAATTTTTCTCTTTCACAGATAGGGTTGAACTGCCTATAAATGTGAATACTTAATGAGCAGATTGGAAAACTGTAGAAGATTTTAAAGTCTTCATTTTCTCAGAAACTTAAAGTACTTTGTACCTCACAAATTCTGAAATGTAGTCATTCAAGTTAATTAATGGCCATGGCTGGCTAGCTTCCAGGGTCTATGTACCATCCTGCCCTCCCAGTCCCTGCCCCCTGAGCTGACTGTGGTAAAGACAACCACAAGATGTGATCCACCCCCAGGCTCCACACCCTTCCACTACTCATAGTTAAAACTATGATCAGCAAACTAAAATTACCATGAGGCTTTTCTTCCTTTCTTTTAAAAAACAATTCAACTTTTATTTTAGATAAAAGGGTACATATACAGGCTTGGTATATTGGGTCATGCTGAGGTTTGGGGTCCAGATCCTATCACCCAAGTAATGAATATAGTAAACAATAGGTAGTTTTTCAACCCATACCCACCCTCCCTCCCCAGTCTAGTAGCCCATGGTGCCTATTATTCCCATGTTTATGTCCATTCAAATATGTGTGTGCATGAGAGAAACACAGTTCTCTCCTTTTTACTGCTTGCTGTACAGCTATATGTATGTGCTCTGCTTTCTTAAATATAATTGGATTAAAAATGAGATTGGCTGATATGTCATCTTTCTTATAATGCTGTACTAAATTGTCGGAATGATACATAATAGTTATAAGTATAATACTTTTTATGGTTCGTTTGTTTTCCTAAGATCCAGAGGAATTTCTTGTCAGCTCTCACTTTCTACACCTATAAAGCAGTAGAGTTCCTTCCAAGGACAGATCCTAAATTTTTTCTGTAAAAGTCATATTTGTCATATCGGTGTACTTTCTCTTTAACATATTATAGAATCAGCCTGATTGAATTCTGAATTAAGTTACATGCCAGGATTAAATTGTTTTACAAAACAACAACTTACAAATGAATTTGTAATTGGAGACCACCCAAAATAAAATATGAAGTAACTTAGGTTAAAAATCAATGGGAAATGTTTTAGGAAACCTTTCTGTGATCTATTCATTAAGTAACATAAATATTTCAGAGAGATTTATAAATTAGACTTGTAACTGAAACAGTTATATAGCATAATTCTGTTTTACAAAAGTTGAACAATGGTATTATCATATTTTGCTATGAATTTTTTTATAAAAGGGTAATTTTTTATTTATGTAAATAAATATAAATAATCCAATTAAAATATTGAGGAACAATGAATACATTTTTCAAGAGCTGTGTCCCTACAACAGTAACCCACAACTATGCCCATATGTGGCACAAAACAAATTAATCTTTTCTTCTATTTACTTCGAATTTTATTTTTTAATTATTAGTTCCTGTCATACATAGAATTTTCCAGGAAAAAATAAGACAGCTAATGAATAATTAGCCACAATGTCATATTCTCCCCACTCACTCTATAGATAATCAATTAAAAAAAAAAAGAACAATATATTTTGGTCCAAGCAGTTTAGAGAAGTATGGAATTAAAAACATTTCTGTATTTTGTATCAAGTCTAAATGTATCACTTCAAATAGTATGATTTCAAAGCCAAAGATTGTACTCCTTTCTTTTGTCCAAAAAATTAGAAGTAGCTGTGTACATACTAATCAATTTAAAATTGTTAGTGCAGTATCTTTTTTCAAAGTCAAATGTCACATTGCAAGTCTTACTAGGCAGTTAAAAAAAAAGACAAGCCATGAATTCTCCTGAAAACCCAACATATTTCCCTGTGCAAATAAGTCACATAACTCAGATGCCAACAATTCAGCAAAATTGAAGCCTTTTAGTGGCCCTTCTCTTATAGCTATTTTGGAGAATCTACAGAAAAGGAAAATACACAGATTTTTAAAATAAACTTGAATAATCCATTTGGAAGAACAAATTAATCTTGATGATAAAGTCAAACAAGTGATAATGAAGAGGTGAAATCATGAAACCTTAAGGATCCACTGGAGAGAACAAAGTGTACTTTATAGATCTGCTCTCCTGTATTTCTCACATATTCTCCTAGAGACTCAAAACAATTACATCACAAAGATGGAGGCTAGAACAGTTAAGCCCCTATGGCCAACCTGTCTCTCAAGGCTAACCTGGTAGGAAACCAAACTCAAAAGATCTTGCTGTCTTTTGTTTGTTTTTTGTTTTGTTTTTGTTTTTGTTTAAAAAAGAAACTTATTAACACTGAGATTTCATTAAACAAAACACCACTTAAAATTCTAGTCAATATTCAATTTTCTTTTAAAAAACTGTTTGGCATAATTTTACTAGCATTTTGTCTTAAAATTAGTTTTATATTTGGCAATAAACCCTATCTCCTTGGTTTGGTTTCTTTTCCTTACTAGTCGAGAATAGCAATGGCCTCTTTCCATCACTGTGGTTGCTGATCAGATTTAATGTGTTAATTTTGGGAAAAGTATTTGCTTATGCTCTATTATTTTTCCTATTTCAGCTTTATTTGCGTGGCAGTGTTTTCAGTTACATACATACACACACACACACACACACACACACACACACATCCATACACAGCCATAAATCACTTCTTACACCACCTCCATAATATCAACAAAAGCCGGATAAAATTAAAATCCAGTTATTAAGTCAAAATCTCAATTTCCATCTTTCCAAATCAAATTTTTCTTAAAACAATTAAATACCAACAAAACTAAGCAGGTTTGGGTTTGCTTTATTTTTGGTTTATTTGGTTTACTTTGGTTTGCTTTCTCTCTGATAGGTATTTGTAAGATGATAAAATGGCAACACAGTGGCCAACCAGAAGGTAGTTACTAGATATTTCACAAATTGGATACCATTCTCTAAATAATTAATAGTTGATTTCATATTACAAATGTTTTCCACATATTTCTACAAATTGGTTATAAGAATTTACAAAGGGTGAAAATCAAGCAGAATAGGTATTAATGTTTCAAAGGTCGCCTTTAATACCAACTCTTTAATACCAATTGCTTTATAGGACTGATGAATAATTTTTGCACGAAGCTATGAGATTTATAATTCTTATCATAATACCAAAATGACTGATGAATTTGTTAAACTGAAATTTAATTATGCCACAATATATGTTTATAATTGTCTTCAGAAAAGGTTAAAAAATATTTTGAAATCATGGCCTCAGCTAAGGCTTGATTACGTAGGGTATATGATAGCTATTTTTTTAATTGCCATTCCATTGTACATTGATTTCAGATTCATAATGTATTCTATTTATCCATCAATTCCTATCACTATCAATGGAAAATATAACCCCACATTCTCAGAAAACAGTGTTTAAGGAGCACTATCTCAGTAAAATCCATTAGTAGACTATCAACTTGATCAATCCTTTGTAAAACTATCTTTTCTGATGCCCAATGTTTCCTATTTTATATAGTTAAATTTAAAGGTATTTTGTTATAGCAAAAAGAATTCTCTTTACCTCCAACAATGTCTGTTAACAATTACTTGTAAAAAGAACCAATTTAATCCTCTTGTATCCTCTATTTTAAAAAATTCATATCATCTAGACTTCTACGTTGAATTAAAATCTAATTGTAGTGCAATTATGGAAGAGTCATAAAAGTTGTGTATTAAGACAAAGAAATTTTAATATTGGTGGACCTAAAAGATCTTTCTCCACCAACTTTTTAATACAAATTGGAAATATTTATAATTCAAATTTTACTATGTTGCATTAGTATTTATGAGTTTTAAAAATATTCTGAAATTTTAAAATATAAAATTTAGAAATATCCCTTATAATTCCTAAATATTATTTCAAAAAAGTATATTTAAAATGTAGGTAATCAAGAAGAAGGAAGAAAACTCCTCTTCGAGAGAAATTGGTAACATATATATATTTCTTATGATGCTCAAGAACTAATTGCTCTCAAATTACTGTTTTATAACGTTACTTTAAGCATTGGTTTTCATTTCATAGAAATCTGGCATTCTTCATAAGAGACTACTGATAACAGAGCAACTGACCCTAAAAGCAAATTTAAACATTTTGGGAATAATACAGTATGTATGAATTAATAAAGTCAGAACCTTACAACTGTAAGCTCAAGGCAAGTAATAAACTATCAAAAATAGTTCCCTTTGGAAAGGCCTTAATACTTTCCATTTCAACGGCTTCATATCCAAGAAATAGAACATAACTATGGTAAGCTACCATACGAGCTTATGTGCTGCAAATATATTTATTAGGCAGTTTCTTTTGAGCATTAGTAGAGGCTGAAGCTGTCTAGAGCTATATTACTTAGATATTCTGAATCTAAGTAAAGATAGAGGTAAAATGTCCTTTAATGGGAGAATCATTTTCTGTACACTTGCGTTTTTCTGGACTAGGTATAACAATGAAATTATATGACTGCTTTGGCAGTTTCCAAACATTAAACATTACTGTTTGTCCCTGTTGTTTTTCTTTTTGGAAGGCAAACACAAAATCATTGCAATCAAAAAGTAAAGTCTGCTCTATTTTGGTTATTCTTTTTTCAGTGTTAAATTTATCAACATAGTTTTTAACATGTAAATTGTGCTCCTCGTTATCAGAAAAACTATCTATATGGTGCTTTAGATAACAAAAGAGTATCCATTTAAAAATTATGTTACACTAAACATAATAAAAAACATTTTAAAATTTATTGGTATAAGGAATTCCATACAAAAAGCAACAAATGAACAGAAGTCTGTTTCTCCAAAAGTGTGAAAACACAAGTGCCATTAACATTGAAGCGAGTATACACCCAGCCTTGAGAATTCAATGGTTCTGCCTCCTCAATAAACTCATTCTTTTTAATGTTATTCATATCCAGAAATTACCAATGTACCTTGATACAAGGACTCATTTGTTTTGCAATCCGGTGTGATATGAAATTGTTCCAAGACCATCTATCTTTTAATATTTGGTATGTATTTTTTAACAAAGTGCTTGTGTTTATGTGAAAGGAATATAGCAAGACATTGAATTCTTAGGAATGGTAAGAGTCCTGTAAATGAACTTGTATCAAAATATAAAATAATGGCAGACGAAAAAATCTGTGAGCACATTTTATTTAAGAAACTTGTGGTTCATCATACACATTTGTTGTAATGCTTCTTTCTAGGCATAGAAAAGGAAAGTATATTCCTATTCAGAAACTGAATTTTAAAATGAGCAATGTGAATGAACACCTTTCTATTCTACATTATAGACTGCATATTTAATTACTTAATATATAAATAATTTAAACTTGAATTGGACTTGAACTTTTCATTTCCTAGAAGAATTTTGAGATATATGTCTAAGGGAAGTTTGACCCTTGAGTTAATCCATTTCTCTAAAAATCCATGTACCAGAACTTGGTTCAGCTCTAGAAAGCGTCACTGGAGTGTCACCATTTGAATTTTAGTTCTATCTATATTCTCAATGTAGGTAGGCTCTTTAATTAGAGGCTCTCAATTAGCAAACTCTCTAATTGACACGGATTCCTTAGTTTTCTCAAACTGAATAGTAATTTTCAGGCAGGCATTCAAGAAGGAATATTAAGCATATCTTCAAAAAAATAAAAGTGGTGACATAGAACAGTCGAAAATGTTTTTATTTACTTTCTGCTACCAAATTCCTACAAGGCATTAGGAATTAGTTACTATTTATAACTCCCTTACCAACTTCCTTTGTCTATAGTCATCATACTGCTTCAACATATAGCTAATTTGGTCAGAGAAACAATGTCCCAAAGTTTTAAAAGACATGACTGCAGTTTGAGGTTTGCTCAAAGTGCAGATGAAAATTGGTTAAAGCGTGGCCTAGCCAAAAATGACAAGTGGGAGGGTAAATGCTGACAGGCTCCTTCAATTCGTTCCTTACCCCTTTGTGACAGGAGAAATGAGAAAGTAGAGCTGTGAACAAACATTTAGTGGGGTTGAGTGTGACAACTGGCTTGAGTCAATGGAGGTATTGGGATCTGGACATCTGTGGCTTGAATGAGTCACCAAAACTCATGTAAGACTTTTCAACATTTTTTTGTTTTGACAAAGAAGAACACCTAGATCTTTGGCCAATTTTTTAATGTTAGTTAAATTTCTTCTTTTTCTACCCTCAAAAATCAGTATAAGTAGACCAGTTATTGAGGTCAGAGATGCCCCACAAGGATCAAATTAAGAAGTCATTAAAGACTCAGCTCTACCAGTGACCACTGGAAAGCTACATAACTTTCCATTTCCTCATCTGTAAATTGGGCATAATACTCGTCCTGGGATGAGGAAATCAGTCAGCGTATACAGAGCTTTTAGAACAAAGCCTGGCACCTGGCACATAGCAGTTGCCATATAAATAGTTACTAACCTCATCCTCAAATTATTTTTCTCAGAAACCAAATTAAGTAATATACATGAGTATATAATTATTACATAATCTAGTTGGTCAATAGCAATACAACATTTTCAAAATTAGTTCTATTTTAAATAATTTTCTAATTTCAAATACTTTTGGGAATCCAAAAGATGAGCAAATATCTAAAATGCCAAGCAATATTAATTTAATACATTTAAACAGTGTATTAAACAACACTAAATGCTTTTCTGAAGCTTTGAATCACAGTTGTATAGTCGTTTTACTTATCTTGGTACAATTTTTTCCTAGTGATTAAATAACATTTCTATGAAAACACTTTCACTAGCTTTTAAAAGTCAGAGAGGTTGGGAACAAGAAAAAGTAAACAGTGTCTGCATGTCATTAGAGATGATTTCAATAAACACATTGGTCTGATAGAAATATCTTTTCTTTTTCTTTTTCTTTTTTTTTTTTTTTTTGAGACAGAGTCTTGCTCTTTCGCTCAGGCTGGAGTGCAGTGGCGCAATCTTGGCTCACTGCAACCTCTGCTTCCTGGGTTCAAGTGATTCTCCTGCCTCAGCCTCCCAAGTAGCTGGGACTACAGGCATGTGCCACCACGCCTAGCTAGTTTTTGTATTTTTAGGAGAGACGGGATTTCACTATATTGGTCAGGCTGGTCTTGAACTCCTGACCTCATGATCCGCCCACCTTGGCCTCCCAAAGTGCTGGGATTACAGGTGTGAGCCACCACGTCAGGCCATAGAAATATATATACGTATATTTTTTTCTTTTCTTTTTAATTGTGAACACAAGTGTCAGTAAAATTTACAATTTGCTTTAAGACAGCTTAAAGTCGAGACTTCCTTGGAATCTAGCTTTGATGTTTGCTGAAAGTGTCACTTATCCTTAAGTAGCCTTTAGGAGTTTGTTTAAGGTTATCACTCTAGGAGGACTCTTACTCTACAACATATGAAGAAGAGCTGTTGGGGTAAAGGAGGAAGAGCTCATACATCTCATGAGGGATACTGAATAAGAGCTGTTCCCAGTCATTCTCCAAAATTCCCTGAAAGTCTCCAGGAAGAGATGCTTTAAATATTCTCTTGGGTGGGGCCATTTTTAATTTTCTTGTGCTCTCTTTTATATGATATATGAATTAATTACAGTCATTTCCAGCTCTGACTCAAATAAGTTTCAAAATTGAAACAGAACATGGTGTAGGAAAGGGACTGGTGAAAAGAATTCATACTTGAAAACATTATCCAGACTGTTCTGCTTCAGAAGGGAAATGGTGGGAGTGACAGGAGGTATGAGGTATACGTTTATGTCTTTAGAAGAATTTTCATGCCCTGTTCTTTTTTGCTCTTTTTCCTTCACAAATAGTTTTTTAAAATGCTAGGAAATTTTACCTACTTTCCACAAAGGTCTAGATGACTTATAGTTTTATTGCTACCTGAAAGAGTGAGGAAATATTTGTGGGTTTTATTTTAGATTTTTTTTCAAGTATTTTGAGTGCTTTCTAAGATTTTTAATCTTTCCCTTCTATTCATGCCATCTAATTAAAAGCCACCAGTGATCAATAAATCTCCAGGTCCCTTTAAATTTTAAATGTGCAAAGTTACTTGTGTTGCATATCTTATACAAACTCATGGTACTGCTTAAGCAAACTCCTGTGTAAACAGTTATTCAAAAACTATACTTGAAATATCACCTGGCTGAGGACACTGGCAGGATCCAATTGTTATTGTCATAGTAGCACTCTATCCTGGTTTCCATTATTAGTGTATAGACATTTTACATAAATTTGAATATACATATCCTTCATGCCCCAGTGTTCAAAATGTCCCAAATGAAATTTCGGCTTGAGAAAAGTAACTGAATTGTTTATTGTTTATAGAGTGTCAAGGAGGACACAACAAAATAAGCCATTAAAACTTCTATTCTTTTGCCTAGAATGCTATCTTTTTATTTTTTTATTTTCATGGATACACAGTAGGCATATATATTTATGGGCTACATAAGATATTTTGATACAGGCATGCAATGTGTAATCATCATATCAGGGTAAATGGAATATCCATCACCTCAAGCATTTATCCCTTGTGTTACAAACAAGCCACTTATACTCTTCAAGTTATTTTAAAATGTATAATTACATTATTTTTGACTAATGTGATCCTGTTGTACTAGTAAATACTAGGTCTTATTCATTCTTTCTATTTTTTTATACCCACTATCCATCCCCTCCCCACCTTTCTCAGCCTCTGACAACCATCCTTCTATTCTCTATCTCCATGAGTTCAATTATTTTTCTTTTAGAGCTCACAAATAAGTGAGAACATGTGAAGTTTGTCTCTCTGTGCCTGGCTTATTTCACCTGACATAATGAGCTCCAGTTCTATGTATGTTGTTGCAAACGACAAAATCTTTCTTTTTCATGACTGAATAGTGCTCCATTGTACAAATGTACCACATTTTCTTTATACATTCACTTGTTGATGGACACTTAAGTTGCTTCCAAATCTTGGAATAGTTCACAATAGTGAGCAGAGCTGCAACAAACATGGAAGTGATTCTCTTTAATGCACTGATATCTCTTTAATATATTAATTTCCTTCATTTTGGGTATATACCCAGCAGTGAGATTGCTGGCTCATATGGTAGCTCTGTTTTTAGCTTTTTGAGGAACCTCCAAACTGTTTTCCACAGAGGTTGTACTAGTTTACATTCCCATCAACAGTGTACAAGGGTTCCCTTTACTCTACATCCTTGCCAGTATTTGTCATTGCCTGACTTTTAGATATAAGCCATTTTAACTAGGGGAAGATGATATCTTACTGTAGTTTTGATTTCCATTTTTCTGATGATTATGATGTTGAGCACCTTTTCATATTACTATATGACAATTGTATGTCTTCTTTTGAGGAATGTCTATTCAAATCTTTTGGCAATATTTCTTTATTTATTTAGACAAAGTCTCACTCAGTCACCGAGCTGGAGTGCAGTGGCACCATCATGGCTCACTGCAACCTCTGCCTCCCTGGTTCAAGCAATTCTCCTGCCTCAGCCTCCTCAGTAGCTGGAACTACAGGCATGCACCATCACACCTGGCTAATTTTTTTATTTTTAGTAGACAGGGTTTCACCATGTTGGCTAGGCTGGTCTCGTGACCTCAAGTGATCTGCCCGCCTTGGCCTCACAAAGTGCTGGGATTACAGGCATGAGCCACAGTGCCCGACCTCTTTCAGCAATTTTTAATTGGAGTATTAGATATTTTCATACAGAGTTGTTGGATCTCCTTATATATTTTAGTTATTAATCTCTTGTCAAATGAGTAGTTTGCAGATATGTTCTCTTGTTCTGTGGGTTTTCTCTTCACTGTGGTAATTGTTTCCTTTGCTGTGCAGAAGCTTTTTAACCTGAATAGGTTAAAAATGTGATGTGATCCCATTTCTCCATTTTTGCTTTGGTTGCCTATGTTTGTGGGGAATTACTCAAGAAATCCTTGCCCAGTCCAAAGTCCTACAGATTTTCCCCAATGTTTTCTGGTAGTAGTTTCATAGTTTACAGTCCTAGATTTAAGTCTTAAATCCACTTTGATTGATTTTTGTATATGGTGAGAAGTAGGGGTCTAGTTTCATTCTTCTTCATATGGATATCCATATGAAGAGATTATCATTTCCCCAATGTTTATTCTTGGCACCTTTGTCAAAAATGATTTCGCTGTAGATGTATGGATTTATCTCGGGGTTCTCTGTTCCATTCCACTTATCTATGTGTCTTTATACCACTACCACACATTTTTGGTTACTGTAGCTCTGTTTTATAATTTAAAGTCAGGTAATATGATTCCTCCCATTTTGTTCTTTTTCTTACGATTGCTATGGCTACTCTGGTCTTCTGTGGTCCCATATAAACTTTAAGATTTTCTATTTCTGTGAAGAATGACATTGGTATTTTCATAGGGATTGCATTAAATCTGTAGATTGCTTTGGATGATACGAACATTTTAACAATATTTATTCTTCCAATCCACAAACATGGAATATCTTTCCATTTTTTGTGTGTCCTCTTCAATTTCTTGAATCGATGTTTTATGATTCCTATTATAGAGCTTTTTGCTTCTCTGTTTAAGGTAATGCCTAGGTATTTTATTTGTAACTATTATAAGTGGAATTACTTTCTTGATTTCTATTTCAGATTGTTTACTGTTGGCAATATAGAGATGCTACTGATTTTTCTCTGTTGATTTTTGTATACTGCAACTTTACTGAATTTATTTATCAGTCCTAATAGTTCTTTCAGTGGAACATTTTGGTTTTTCCAAGTATAAGATCACATCATCTGCAAACAATTTCACTTCCTCCTTTTCCAATTTGGATGCCCTTTATTTCTTTCTCTTGTCTGACTGCTCTAGTTGGGACTTCCCTATAGTACTTTCCTTTCCTTTGCAATTATATATAACTTTTTAAGAATTACTAATTATGGTGAAGGATATTAAGCAATCTGATGACCTGAAAGTATTAATAAGTTTTCCTCGTTGTCTAACTAAAAATTGGAGAGAAAATGATTCCTCTGGGAACAATATGGGTTTGCAAGCAGGGTTTCCAAGATGAAATTTAAGACGGTGTATCACATCAGCATTTCAAAATTTCAAAAATGTCTAAAAGTGTTTGAAGGTGTACATCATGAGAGTAGCAGAAACCAACACTTCTCAATATGGTGCTTTTTCTCAGAATGATCAACCAGCTACCTGGTTGCAGGTTAAAGGCGTTGGACCACTTCCATCACGGAACAGGCAGCCTTTTGTCTTGTGGAATAGACCCTGGATATGAATTTTAATTCCCTGAATACAATGTTTCTGCAAAAACTGCCAGCTGTGGACTAGAATGTCTTATGTACCACAATGGTATTCCATACAGCATTACCTCTAATCAAGGAACTCACTTCACAGAAATGAAGTGAAGCAATGAGCTCATGATCATGGAATTCAGTCACTCACCATCTTCCCCACTGTCCTGAAGAAGCTGGCTTGATAAAACAGTGGAATGACCTTTTGAAGTATCAGCTGCAGCTCCATGGGGCTGTATGTGGTCTGAATCAACATCCAATATATGATGCGGTTTCTCGCATAGCCAGAATTAATGGGTCCAAGGATCAAGAGATGGAAATAAAAGTAGGGCCACTCACTATTGATACACTGTTAATTTTTTTTTTTTTTTTGCTATCTACAAGCAATTTTTTTCTTCTATCCCTGCAATCTTTGACTCTGCTGACCAAGAGTTCTTAGTTCTTCATCCTAGTGATTTACTAGCAGAAAGTTTTCCTCCTGTCCCTGCAACCTTAGGCTCTGCTAGCCTAGACAGTTTGGTTCCAAAAGGAGGAATGCTTCCACCAAGAGATGAAATGATGATTCAATTGAACTGGATTGCCACCTATCCACTTTAGACTCCTTACACCTGAAGCAAAGGAGGGAGTTATTGTGCTATCTGTGGTGACTGATCCTGACTACCAAGGAGAAATTGAACTGTTATTCCATAATGGAAGTAAGAAAAAGTATGTTTGGAATACAGGAAATCCCTTAGGCCATTTCTTAGTATTATTATTCCCTGTGGTTAAGGTCAATGGAAAACCACAACACAATTCAGGCAGTACTAGGCATGGCCCAGACCCTTCAGGAATGAAGGTTTGGGTAACTCCACCAGGTTAAAAAGCCACAGCCAGCTGAGATGCTTGCTGAAGGCAAAGGGAATACAGAATGGAAGAAAGTAGTTATACATACCAGCTATGACCACATGACCTGTTACAGGAAGGATAAATGTAATTGGCATTAGTATTCCCTCCTCAGTTTGTTATAAACGTGTGTGTGTGTGTGTGTGTGTGTGTGTGTATTAATACCATGTAACATAAAATGTATTGACTTTGTATCATGGTATTTAAGTTACAGGATATCAAGGAGAAGAGCAAACAATAGTCAAGAACTTTGTATTCTCTTCTGGGGAAAAAGTTAGTGCATTTTTGGTTGTATGCTGGATAGTCGTATCGTGTCAGGCAGAGGTATAACCTTGTTATTGTTTTCATTTGAAGATTAATTATGATATAAGGAGATGTGTATGGGGGCCAATTGACAGAAGTGAGCTTCTGGTGATTAATTTTATGTATAAACATGGATGGCCCATGGAATGCCAGATATTTGCCCAGATATTATTCTAAGTATTTTTGTGAGGGTGTTTTTGGATGTGACTAACATTTAAATCAGTGAACTTTGAGTAAAGCAGATTGCTCTCCATGATGTGAGCGGGCCTCACCGAAGCAGCTGGAAACCAGAATAGAACAAAAAGACCAGAATCCCCTCTAGACAGGAGATAATTCTCCAGCAAGCTGCCTTCAGACTGTATCTACATCACTGGCCCTTCCTGGTTCTATAGCAAATGGCCTTTGGATTCAAACTGGAACATTGACTCTCCTGGGTCTCCATCCTGCCAGCTCACCCTACAGAGTTTGGACTTGTCAGCATCCATAATTATGTAAGCCAATTCTTTATAGGAATATGTAGATAGATGATAGATAGATAGATAGATAGATAGATAGATAGATAGATAGATAGATAGATAGAGATATATTCTATATATATCTATATACATATACAATTGATTCTGTTCTTTGGAGAACTTTGCCTAATAAAATGTATTAATGAACTTTTCATTATCACTAAGTTGGATGTGCCCTTGTTATTTCTCCTTCTAACTTTTGTGTTACTCTCACTCTCTCTCTCTCTCTCTCTCTTCTTTATCTCTCTCACCTTTATCCTCCTATTTCCTAATTTCATCATATTCGCCAAATAACTCATTCCTTGGAAAATTACCTTCTTGGCAATCATTTAATCTCAGCATGAACTAATACCTCAAATAATTCTCAAATACATATTTCCAGGCTGGCTCCCTCTGAAGTTACAGATCCTCATTTCCAAATGCTTAATAGTGATCTTCATCTGGTTATTCATCAGATTTCTCAATATGTTCAAAACTGAACTTTTTTTCCCCCAAAACTATACTGTTTTCTATTTTCCTTATTCTGTTAATAGCAAAACCTTCCACCCTGCATATTTTGGTTACTCTAGTTCAAAATCACCTTCACCCTCCCTTTTTCTACACAACTTGTTGCTGAATCCTGGCAACCGGTTGCACTGGTTGTTACCCTTTCCTTTGCAACATCTCTAGCATCTATTCTCTCCTTTCCATCATTCCTCTTCCTCTGCCATTTACACCCTGGTTCAATCCCAGGTCAGTTCCCCCTGACTTTCTTCAAGAGTTTCTAACAGGTTTACCTTATTCTAGACTATTTCCTTCTGTCCATTTTCCCTATGATGCTGAAATTATTTTCCTGAAGAAGCCATACAAAAATCTTAAGAGAAAGAGAAATGACTGAATGGAAAACATATCCTCATCCAAATAAGTAAACCCAAGTGTGGTCTCTATTGGAGGGATGGACCATCATAAATGTAACCCAAGTTGTGAGGTAGCTGTGCTGTTGATGGCATCCAAGAACAATAAGCCACACACAAACGGTACTAGGGTGTAACTTCAAAGGTACAAGGCAGAGTCAAGAAAAAATCCACATTTAGGACAATGCTAAGGCTTTGACACATTCGGTTTGAAAGAGAAAGATGGGAAATCACGAAGGCTTCAGAGGATACAGCCAATCAAAAAGCCAAGGATGAGCAGCTGACCTTAGGGATATGGCTATTACAACTAATTCTCTCTCCAGCCTCATGGAAGCATCTGGCATTGCCAGGGCTGCTCCTGTCTATTGATATTGGGAGAGTCAGTGACCAAGAATGATTTGGTGTATATATATACACATACATATATACATATACATATGTATTACATATATGGGTATATATATATGTGTGTGTGTGTGTGTGTGTTTGTGTATATAATTTTTTTTTTTTTGAGACGCAGTCTTGCTCTGTTGCCCAGGCTGGAGTGTCGTGTAGCGATCTCGGGTCACTGCAAGCTCCGTCTCCCGGGTTCACGCCATTCTCCTGCCTCAGCCTCCGGAGTAGCTGG
The DNA here is from genome assembly GCF_000001405.40 of Homo sapiens. Lineage (NCBI taxonomy): Eukaryota > Metazoa > Chordata > Mammalia > Primates > Hominidae > Homo > Homo sapiens. The sequence continues at coordinate 89,102,995 of NC_000005.10, read as the reverse complement.
GACTACAGGTACCTGCCACCACGCCTGGCTAATTTTTTGTATTTTTAGTAGAGATGGGGTTTCACCGTGTTAGCCAGGATGGTCTTGATTTCCTGACCTCGTGATCCACCCACCTTGGCCTCCCAAAGTGCTGGGATTACAGGCGTGAGCCACCGCGCCCGGCCTATTTGGTGTATATTTTTAATCCTGCCTCTTGACTGTAGGATTCTTAAAAGCAAAGGTGCTAATTTTCATTGTTATACCTTGCTTCATACTTGGTCGTATACAACTTAATGTTGATCAAAACAAAACAAAACAAAAAATCTTTACCCTAACATTCAGATCAATTCATGATCTAATTCTGGCTTACCACTTCAAACTTATTTCTCATCAGAGATTCTTGGCTCAAGCAAGCTGAGCTGATGGTCTAAGTACATAGTTCATATTTCCAGCCACTGTTCCAGCAGTCTTCCTCATGACCACAGTTCTTTTTCTCCATATGTAGGAATTGTATTCAGCCTGGACTACTTAAATGCCACTTTCTCTAAGAAATCCCACACTTCAAACATGCCCTTTACTCACTCTCACTTTTCTAAATCCACAGGAAAAAAAATGAATTATTTCTGAAGGCATTCATAATTTTCCCTTCATATTATTGTTCCTTTTATACATTATACCTTCCTACTTTTCTGTAAGTTCACTGACAACAATTCCTATCTGAGTCATCTTTGTCTGCCTCCCCTGCAATAGCAGTAGTCCTGTACACAGTGAACACAATATATGTTTGCTAAACTTTAAAAAAATATCCGTTACACTTCTTAAGTTTTAAAAAATCTATATTTTATGTCACGATTTGCTGACCTGGTACATCAGCAGTAGAAGCAATCTTAATAAAATAATTCTTCCTCTCCCTTTTCAATTGCATAAAGCCTAGTCCTAGATTTTGGGTAACTTCATCAGATATGGAAATAAATTTGTCATTGAATATCTGGGAAACACTAAGAAAGGCAGATACATATTCTGATGAGAACAACACTAATAATGATAAGAGTTATACAGCACTGTGATGTGTTAGACATTGGCCATTGTATACATTAACTTAAATCTCACATCACTCTTATGATGCTAGTATAGATGAAGAAACTGACATACAAAGAGTTTAAGAAATTTGCCTAAATTCAAGCAACGAATAAGTGGTAGAGAAAAGACTCAAATCCAGGCAGTCAGGAATCAGAGTTCATGTTCTTAAGTCCATTCTACAAAATACAACTCCTATTATATTCTACCCACTATTCAGAAAAATGTCCATGTTAAAGGGATGGTCCTTGGCTTGAAGAGCCAGCTCCTTTCAATGAGTGACCCTTGAACCCCTTCTCAAGGGTGAATGGAAGGTACTCTAGAGCAAAGGGCACATGAGGATCAAGGACTCCAATGAGTGTTCTAAAATGACATTGTAGCAATGAAAATTTGAGTAATACAGCTCCAATGTCATTATATAAGGCTTTCAGTAGAGGGAGGTATAGAAAATGACATGTTTCAAGAGTGTTGCCTTTGTAGTAGCCTCAGAACCAAACTTTCTAAAAAGCAAAATGGAATATATGTGAATACTGGAATCACGAATACCCTTATTGCACACATCCTGCTGTGAGTTACTCTTTGAACAGAATTGCTGCTTAGACTTCAAACCACCACTGTGACCTCAAGAGGTTAGCAGAAAAGAGAAATTCTTTGGTTTAGAAACCATAACATGGGTATAATGCCATTTAAAGGCCTAAGACTTAGAACTGAATATGGCTTTTTGGGAAAAGTCAGTCAATCCTCTTCTAAAAAGGAGGAAATCTCAATGAAGCCTAGTGCTTTTTAATTTCCAGATTAATATAGAAAGACCTAATAGCAGTATAATGTTATTTTACCCATAAAAGTAGATGTCATATTCTTAAACATCATTAGCTAAATCATGTTCTTTAACTGATCATGTTCATACTAGACTTTTTTTCAATTTGTGACAATCTTTTCAGTGTGAAATGGTAGATACGTGCTACTGCTCTGGAGAAAGAAATAGTGAAATATAGGCTACATGAAATATTTTGGGACCATGAAGAGTATATAATGCAGCAAATTAAAAAAAGATTCAGGAAGTAAGCAAGCCAGGCAGTCTCACTCTAAAACAATGGATTTAAACTACATATCTGTATATTTGATAGATGAGGAGCAGGGTTCTCTTAAGAGAGAGTCCCAGAACAGAGGACAGAAGTGTTTATATAACCTTGTGATTGAACTAGAAAAACAAAAACAATAACAACAACAAAACCTCTCATATTGTAATTCTGAAATCATATATGGGTAAAGGAATATTTCTAACTCATCTCTCACAGACTATATTTTTATAATGATTTCTGTCCCTTTCCCTCAAATTCAGCAATTTTTGTCCTTCATCATATAACCAAAAAAGGATTTTCTATTTTTTTTCAGGAGGCAGGACATACAAATCTCTTTTACAACAGCTGCAAAAAATAAAAATAAAATACCTAGGAATATACTGAAACAAGAAGTGAAAAATCCCTACAAGTAGAGAACCACAAAACGCTGCTGAAAGAAATCACAGATGACACAAATAAATGGAAACACATCCCATATTCATGGATTTGAAGACTCAATATTGTGAAAATGACCATACTATCCAAAGCAATCTACACGTTTAATGCAATTCCTATCAAAATACCAATAGCATGTTTCACAGAATTAGAAAAAACAATTTCCAAATTTGTATGAAGCCAAAAGAGCCCAAACAGCCAAAGCAGTCCTAAGTAAAAAGAACAAATCTGGAGGCATCACACTACTGGACTTCAAATTATACTACCAGCCTATAGTTACCAAAACAGCATGCTTCTGGTATAAACGTAGGCACATAGACCAACGGAACAGGAGAGAGAACCCAGAAATAAAGCCAAATATTTACAAGCAACTGATCTATAATAAAGCATACAAAAACAGAAATTGGGGAAAGGACACCCTGTTTTGTAGATGCTGCTGGGAAAAATGAATAGCCACATGTAGAAGAATGAAACTGGATCCCAATCTCTCACCTTACACAAAAATCAACTCAAGATAGGACAAAAGCTTAAATCTAAGACAGAAAAACATAAAAATTCTAGAAGATAACTTAGAAAAACTCTTCTAGACATTGGCCTAGGCAAAGAACTCATGACTAAAACCCCAAAAGCAAATGTAACAAAAACAAAAATAAATAAATGGGACCTAATTAGATGAAAAAGCTTCTGCACAGAAAAGGAAATAATCAGCAGAGTAAACAGACAACCCACAGAATGGCAGAAAAATGTTTGCAAACTATATATCCAGCAAAGGGCTAATATCCAGAATCTAAAAGGAACTCAAGCAAATCATCAAGAAAAGAACAAATAATCCAATCAAAAAGTGGGAAAAGGACATGAGTAGACATTTCTCAAAGGAAGATATATAAATGGCCAACAAACATATGAAAAAATGCTCAACAGCCTACTAATCCTCAAGGAAATGCTAATTAAAACCACAATGAGATATCACCTTACTCCTGCAACAATGGCCATTATTAAAAACTCAAAAAACAATAGATGTTGGCATGGATATAAGGAAAAGTGAACACTTATATGATGCTGGTGGACATGTAAATTAGTACAACCTCTATGGAAAACAGTATGGAGATTAATTAAGGAACAAAAAGTAGATCTGTTCAATTCAGCATTCGATTTGGCAATCCCACTACTGGGTATCTACCCAAAGGAAAAGAAGCCATTACATGAAAAACACTCATGCACATTGTATGTTTATTGCAGCACAATTCACAATTGCAAAGATACAGAACCAACCTGAGTGCCCACTGACCAACGAGTAGATAGAGAAAATGTGGTATATACACACCATGGAATACTACTCAGCCATAAAAAGGAAAAAATGCTTTTGCAGCAACTTGGATAGATCTGGAAGCCATTATTCTAAGTGAAGTAACTCAAGAATGGAAAATCAAATACCTCATATTCTCACTTATAAGTGGGAGTTAAGCTATGGGTATGCAAAGGCATACAGGGTGGTATAATGGACTTTGAATACTCAGAAGGGGGAGGATGGGAGGAGGTGAGGGATACAAACTACATATGGGGTACCATGCACACTACTTGGGTAACCAGTACACTAAAATCTCAGAATTCAACACCATGTAACTTGTCATGTAATAAAAAACCACTTATACCCCAAAAACTATTGAAATAAAAATAAATAAATAAAATTAAAATGGAAAATCTTAAGAAAAAGAAATGATCATAATAATAGTTATCATTGCTATATAGATAATACAATAAAAGGAAAGGAGGGAGGAAAGGAGGGAAGGAGGATGAGAAGAAAGGAGGAAAGGAGCAAGAGAGGAAGGAATGAAGGGAAGGAGGAAGAGAGGAAGGAATGAAGGGAGGGAGGGAGAGAGGAAGGTAGGAAGGGGGAGGAAGAGGGGAGGAAGGAAGAAAGGAAGGAAAGAAGGAAGGAAGGAAGGAAAGAAAGAAAGGAGAGAGGGAAGGAGTGGGGGAGGGATGGGGAGGGAGAATAAAAGGAATATATAGTTTTAGTTTGTATCATTTCTTATAAAATATATTAGGTTACATCATCTCCTTCTCCTTTCAAAGAAACCTATCAAAATAACACCTTGCTAGTTTTCTCTGGGGTTGTCATTTTAATCATGTTCATATATACTAGTAAAACATTTTGTTACTAGAGTATTAATATTTGGTATATGACTGAATCTCTAGCACTCATAATAAACATTTTCTCAATACAATAGATGCTCTTAGATTTCCTTTAATAGATTAACAAAAGAATTACTACTGGTGGAAAAATAAAAAAAAAATTAGTTCCAGCCACTTTTGAAGAAAAAATATTACAAAAAGACTTACACGATGTGCATTGCCTCAAGTAAGTGATTTTATCATTCTAAGCTGTTTAAAATAATCAGCCTCATAGAACTTTAGTGACCACCACTTTCTCACACTGTATTTGTAGTGAAGCCTCCTTATTAATTTATCAAGAGACAAACTAAATCCTCAAATACTTGCATTATCAAATTATTACATGACATGGGTTTTCTCTGTTCCAAGTTCCAGATGTGTCTAAGTCAGCTTTAGTCTCATAATACAAACTGTATGCTCTATAGACTCTTCCATACAAATTTCATGGTTTGTATCAGACTCTAAATATTGAGAGCATGTAAATATCATTGAAATATTTTTATCTAATTTAATTAACTTTCCCTACCGTATTGAGTATATCAACCATAGTTTTACCATTATCCCTTAGGCTGAATGATTATAGTATAATTTATGGAGATGAAGCCAAGAGCATATAACTAGTAAATCATCTATAATAAGCAAAGTGGAAAAGCATATTCCCTCTTCACAGGTGGATGATAATATTTGTGCCAAATAATATAGCACTTCTCCCCCTCCTTGGTATTTTAGACATGCATTTTGTTGTCAGGCTCCCTGCCAAAGGCTGCATGGGTCGCAGTGGAGTCTCGCTAATAATTCAAAAGGTGAGTTAATTAGAGGTTGCAGTTTGGAATGTTATCAAGCTGCTGCTTAGACATCTATCTGCTTTCCATACAGGTGTGAAATATTGACAGCAATTTTAGAAGTGTGATGACATTTTTACCTTTCACTTACTTGATTAGATTTTGATATGACTCATACTTTAACAGGAATAGAAACTATACCTCTGTTCAAGTAGCTATTTACCATAAGAAGGCACTGGGGAAGTTCAAAAGAAATGTAGTATTTAACGTATTAACAAAAACTCTTGGGAATTCCTTCCTTCTCCCATTAGAGCACAGAGGTTGATTTTGAATTTTTTTGGTCAAAATTAACCATTTATACCATAGTACCTTTCAATAACATGTTTTGAAATTATGATGACACTGAAAGCAGATTACAATGAAGCTTTGTTTTAGAAATACATTAATTATATGATCACATTTCCTGAATTAATAATAGGCCACAATAGAGATAATGTGAACGTTAGAGCTGTTTTTGCCTTAATATCATATCATATCAGGAGAAAGACTATAAAGAGGCCCAAATGTTGTCATGTATCTGGGAACATCTGGGTATGAATTAGGTGAAAAAATTAGCTACAACATAAATGGAGACAGTTCTATAACATGTATTTTATCATCACACTCCTAGGAGTTCAAAATTTTTAATACATTTATTGTGATTAAGAGCTTTAGATAATGATTGTATCTAAATATCCTTTTTGAATTGCCCTATTTTTTCCCTACAATAGTAGGATCATCAGTAGATCAAGCAGATAAATATGCATCCGAGATAAATATACATCATCAGTAGATACAGCAATTAATAGGGCAAATGTTTTCTATGTAAGCAATGTTTCCCTTTTTTTAATCTCTTCCAGTCAAAGTCAGACACAAGTTTTAATCTAATGTCCCTTGCAGGTCTTCTATTTTCTGATTTCCCCAAAATAAAAGGCCATTTGCTAAGCCTCCAAGTCTGGCATAAAACTCTTTACATATGACCTTTAAATATTTTTGCGTATTTTATTTACTTTTCCATGAGTTATGAAGATGATGATAATGGTTATGATGATAATGAAAATGAGAGCAACAGAATTGAGGACAGGTTTGTTTTAAAAATTTAAAAATTAAATTTAAATTGATTAAAAATCACCCAATTATTGGTCTTTTTATGTATTTGTGGAAAATATTTTAATTTTGTTCCGCTGAAAGCAGAGCCTCAGACAAGGATGTAAGAGCATGTGGCTTGGTTTGGAGGTCATCTCAGTAAGCAGGAATGAAGGAGTGGGGAGAGGCAGGCAGGAAAAGTGCAAATGTAAGAGCTTATTATTGACCTTACTTCTGTAAAGCCTCAAGTCTGCTCAGACCTCTAAGAAGCATACAGAACGTCTTCCAGCATTGTCCACCTGAAGAAGAGGAGTTGGCAGCTCTTATTTCTTTGTTTAAAGTTGTCCCCAGGGGTGATATATTTTCCTTTTTTTTTTTTTTTTTTTTGAGACGGAGTCTCACAGGCTGGAGTGCAGTGGCGGGATCTCAGCTCACTGCAAGCTCCGCCTCCTGGGTTCACGCCATTCTCCTGCCTCAGCCTCCCGAGCAGCTGGGACTACCGGCGCCTGCCACCACGCCCAGCTAATTTTTTGTATTTTTAGTAGAGATGGGGTTTCACTGTGTTAGCCAGAATGGACTCAATCTCCTGACCTCGTGATCCACCCACCTCAGCCTCCCAAAGTGCTGGAATTACAGGTGTAAGCCACCGCACCCGGCCTTATTTTCCATTTTTAAATACCCCACACTTCTTAGCAGTGTTCACTTCAGGCCACAGGTGAAATGCCAGCATAGCTGAGAAAGCCCAGAGGATATAAGCTGAAAGATACCAACCAAGTGCTTAAGATAGGAAACCACCATCCTGAGAGAAGTTATGCCTGGGCTTACAAGAAACCAACCATGAAATGCAATTGTGGCCACAAGCATATGTGGCCAAGGGGATGTAATGAGGGCACCAAAGATATCCATTGTGAGAATTAAGTTATTTTTAAGACAAAAACTCTTACAAGTTTTGTTGTGGTTAAATTTTTAAGTTCTCTCTCAACCAAATATTTTGCTTGAGTACAAATTAGTGACTAGCATTTCATCACCTTTATTTTCCTTTGCCTCACAAAGCAACTAAGAGAAGACAGCCTTGACTGTATTAATGTCAGAAAGGAGAGGAAAGGATTTCCTAAGACGTCCTGCCTCTAAGCACAGACTGGTGGTTTAGTATTATAAAAATTTTGTCTTCTTTGATAAGGTAGACCAATTCCCGACAAGAAGGAGTAAAATGATCAAAATGAACACGGCAGAAAAAACTTTTTGAAAACCAACATAATTCATAAATTGTGTTAAATGGGATTATTGATTGGCAGATAATCACTCCCTTACCTCTCCACAGCTATGTTACACTGTACATTTGCAATCTCCAATAAATCAGGCCTCCAGATGTTCAAAACTGCCTGTAATACAAACAAAAGCTTGATAAACATTTGTACATTGGCATGTCTCCTCTCAGAACTCACCCCCATGAAAGGCAGCCACCGTACAGATATCATACCATAAAGAAACTGGGGCTACACACCCAGTGAGAAACCCAAAAGGAAGAAAAGCCATCTTAGACTTTCTGGCACTGAGTTCTCATCTGAAAGCATATGTTTGAGTGACCCCAGTTATACCATATGAAGCAAAAGAACTACCCAAAAAATCATGAGAAATAATAAACACTGTTTTTTAAGCTATAGGTTTGGATTTTTTTTTTCTGCAGCAATGTATAACTGATACAGAAATTGGTGCCAGAAATGGGATTCTATATAACAAAAACTACAACACGTGGCATTGACCTTGGGAACAGCAAATGAGTAGAAACCTGAAGGCGGCAAAGAGATTGTTTGGTAGAGGCTTGAAAACCAGTTAAGAAAGTGTGGATGAAGCTTGTAGAAAGAAGAATCTTTTGTTAGTGGAAAGATAAATGAGATTGTTGCCTGTGAGAACTTTGAATATAGAAAATATGCTTAAGAAACTTATGGATATTTCCAGGTAGAATGCTGAATATGTCAATTGATTCCTTTAGCCTCTTCTGATAAGGTATTGTAAAAGATAGTTGAACTAAAGATAGAATTGGTCGATTTCCAAGCACAATTTAAAGAGGATATTTCCAATCCAGAACTCCGTGAGTGAAAAAATGAAAATCTTTCTTATTTTCAGCTTCTCTAGGTGGAAAAAAAAAATTAAGAAACTATTTTAGGGCAAAAAAAAAAAAATCCAGAGTGCCACCAAAAAACATGACTTTGAGATCAAGATCAAATTAAAGATGAAGATGTAATATACTTTGTTGAAACCTCAAAAGATTTAAGGTAATGATTTAAAGACCTATATGGCATCTTAGAATTCTCAGGGTGTTGTTCCACAGCAGACAGCCTCCAGTAGAGATGAGCTGGTCTTGAAGAGATGTATGAGTGTAGTTTCAACCTACCTGAGTAAATTATGGTTTGATAATATAGAAAACCCATAAGGTATTCAAAGGAGTTGAATCAGTTTTTGTTAGAAATGTTTAAAATTAAAAGGTGTACCTGGGCCCCCAGCTTTCTGCAGACAGGAAACAGGCTGGAAATTTTTTTTCAGCTGCAAATATATGTCATTCCTCATGGATAAGGAAAGATAAGTCAGAAAGCAAAGCCAAGAGCTGAGAGGGTGAAGCTAAGAGTCAAAAGTGTGCAGCCATGAGTAATGGGTAGGAGAACCATGACCAATATGCATAATCGAATTTTAATCAAGGAAAAGTCCCAAAACAAGGGAAACTGAAGACATTTACCCAATAGGATTGGTTAAATGTATTGCCATGGACAATACTAGTATGTGCCTTCAATTCTGCCTCTTTTTAAACGAGAACCTCTACTGTGCTTATCCTGTCCCATTGTGCATCAAGTATGTGTGGAGCAAATAACCTATCTTTTCAGTTTTCAAACATTTGCTATCCAAGAAGTCATGCCTAAGGAACAATATCTAAGAAGCTACACATAAGGCACCACATCTGAGACATCTCATTGTACCAACACCTGATTTAACTGGTAAAATTCAGAAGTTTTTGATGGTTCCAATGTTTGTGTCCACTTCAAAATTCATGTTGAAACCTAATCCCCATTTTGATGGTATTAAGAGGTAGAGTCTTTACGGGTGATTAATCATAAGGGCTCTGCCCTCATGAATGAATTAGTGCCTTTAAAAAGGCTAGAGGGAACTAGCTCAGGCCTTTTTTGTCCTTCTGTCTCTTCTGCTATGTGAGGACACAGTGTTCAAGGTACCATCTTGGAACCAGAGTCTGAAGTCTTCACCAGATACCAACCTGCTGGAGCTCTGATCTTGAACTTACCAGCTCCAGAACTGTGAGTAAATACATTTCTTTATAAATTACTTAGTCTCAGGTGTTTTGCTACAGCATCACAAAGAGACTAAAACAAAGTTCAAGCTTGTGTTTCGTAACAAAATGTGATTACACTTTGGGAATCTTGAAAGGGAGTATATTTTACAAGTGAAATGAATGTGAATCATTAGGGACAAAAGGGTGATCTGTGGTTTACCATCATATTGGTGTTCCCCAATGAACCACAACTAGATTTATCCATGCTCCTGTGTATTCCTCTATCATATTGACTCTTATATTGGGCATGTGACTTCTTTTGCCAAAGGGACATCACCAAGTGTGATGCAAGCAGAAGTTTGATAAGCCCTTACACTTTGGGACTTGTCTTCCTGGAAGATAAGTTGGAAGTCAGTTACTTGACTGGAAAAAGCTCACGCTAAATTACTGAATTATGAGGATCATGTGGTGAGAGGCCCTGGAAGATGAGAAGCCATCTTAGATGCTCTAGTTCTAGTGAGTTCCTAGCTGAATGCAGGCATATACATGATTGCAGCTACACCACATGGAGCAAAAACACTGCCCAGCTGATTTCAGTCAGCACAAGATTCTAAGCAGTAATAAATCACCATTACTTAGAGCCCCTGTGCTTTGGGGTGGTTTGTTATACACCACTGGATAATGAAAGCACCATCTCCATGGGAGAACTATGCTTCTCCACCTCATCAATCTTGGGCCTAGCCTTCTGTCTTGTTTCTTTGTATTCCCATACCTAGCATGATCTTGGTTTGACCAATTTAGTGTAAGTGGAGGTGACAAGGCTAGTTTTAGCTTAGATTTGAAGGGGCATTGTGGATTTCAACTCACCCCTTTAGCAGCTTCTGGCTTCTACTGTGAGAAGAAAATGTTCCAAGTGGCTACTGCCTCCATACTTTGGGGTCCAGAACAGAGCCCGGACTAGGGTGAGACAAATGAGATGCATGGGGCACAAAATTTAAGGAGGCACTTACTCTCAGAGTCTTGCGAATGCCATCACTGTACTTGCACACCTCTGAGATGAGTTCCTTCTTAAATTTTGTGTCCTAGGTACCTCTCCTACCTAACTCTATCCCTGATCCTTCTTTAAAATCAAATGTGTAAAGCACACCTGTCCCAACTGACCTGTAGACACATTAGACAGAGGTAAATGTTTATTGTTGTATGTTACCAAAATATTTGTGGTTGTTTTTTCCTCAACAAGGTGAAAATATAAACCTTAATAATCAAACTACGACATCCAGATCCATGATGTCTGCGTCTTTATATTCCATACTGTTATGAATTAAACTGTGTCCTCCCCTCCATCAGAATTCATATGTGGAAGCCCTCACCTCTATGTGCCTATATTTGGAGAGAGGGCATTTAAGGAGATAATCGAGGTTAAACGAAGTCATAATAATGGGGCCCTAATCCAGTAGGACTGGTGTCCTTATAAGAAGAGAAAAAGACACTAGAGATTTCTAGTCTCTAATGGAAAAGAGGAAAAGGTCACATAAGGACACAGCGAGAAGGCAGCTATCTGCAAGCTGAAGAGAGACCTCATTAGAAACCAAATTTTCTGATACCTTGATCTTGTGCTTCCTAACTCCAGAACTGTGTGATAATAAATTCTGTCACTTAAGCCACCAGTCTGTGGTATTTTGTATGGCAGCCCTAGCCCACTAATGCACATACCTAGCATGGTGCTGAATGCATTTTTAAAGTTTGTTGCGTAAGTAAGAGCTTGCCATCTCTCCTTCTCTCAGCATGAAGTATATCTTGTCTTTAAGCAAAATTTACAAAGCTCCAAAATCCAGCATCCAAAGAGAAAATACCTGCCCACTAGTCACATAATATAAATTATATCCTTCAAAAGACTCATTTTGATTTTGATTTTGAATTGTTGTCTTTCTCTGAACCAAATTTGTATGGATACAACCTGCGTTTACAGATCGTTTCTTTAAGGTGTACCACCTACCCCTTCGCTTTAGCATATTGGTCTTTGTGATTTATCTAGCAAATTCAAATGTGGCCATTTTGCCTTCAAGAATGTCCTAAGATTTTAATCATTATAATAAAAAGGAATATGATTTTTAAAATCATAGAGCCCATGTGGTGCAGGAAAAAAATGGTTTAGATCAAGAACCATAGTTAGAGTCCTGGCACTTGAATCACAGGTAAGGCAATAAAATTCCATGGTCATGATTTTCTCAGCTTTTTTCAAAATGAGATGTCAAACCAGTGATTCCTGAAGCCACTACTTGTTCGACGGATTTATGAATTTATGACTCTAAGTCTTAGGACATATAGTTGCCTGATTATTTGACTTATATCACATATTGTGATGTTATTTGTTAATGCTTTGGCCTAATCTTAAAATGTAGTTTATGAGTTTTTTACTGTAAATACCTGATGTTCATTTAAAATACATGTACAAATTAAGTGTAATTTTTCTGAGTTTTTGAACATGAGAAAAATGTACATCAGTGCTACATAATTAAGTACCATTTATTTTTTTGCACTGTTTAGGCAAGCTAGAGATATTCAATTGCCATTGAAATATTTTTGTAAACCATGCAACCTTTTGCACAAAAGATAATTATGAAATAGCTAACATTCATTTGACCACAACCAATAAATAATTTATGAACTGGGTGTTTGAAATTATGCAAATATTCTAAATACTTTTTGTTGCCTGTACATCTGAGTAAGTATGATTCAGAAGAAAGTGTGCGATGGATTAATAGATTCAACATTGAAGAGATTTGCATTTCTACAGAGTTCTTTTCTTTGCTGGCTCCTACTATCTTTAGTATCATGGCTCAGAAAACAAGCTTGACAATACTGTCTCTAAATGTATTTGAATATCCTGGCATCCCTATTCATCAGCCTCTTTGATGCTTTAAATGTCTTTTGCTTTCTTTCCAGAACTGTTTATGAAGGCAGAGAGATATGCTTTTAGTAGAGTATCCAACTATTTTATAATACACACTAAATGGAGGGGAAAATAGGTGTCTTTAAATATTTTATATATCTGTGATAGCCCATAGCAGAGTTCTGATAGAGTAAGTTGCAGAATGGGCTCATTACTCTGAGCATACTGCATGCCAGGTGCTACATACAACATCACTGCAATGACTAGGAACTGTTGAGTTTATAAATTCCCTATCCAAATGGAAATCTTATTGACAGCTATAAATTGGTGGACAAACTCTATTGGCAATTATGTTCATATTGCCTTTAGAAATATAGGCTAACATTGCATGAAGGAAATGAGTTTGATTTTGATCATAATCAAGTATAAAAAGCTCTTATCATTTTTAACAGTGTATCATCTAAAAATATTTCTTAGAAAGTACTATGAAATTTAGGGGGTCATTTATTTTCATGTTTTTCAACACCCTATGGTGGGAAGGGGGTGGCATTTCTCTTAATAAAGATATTGAGAAATCTTCAGTCATATTACCATACTAAAAAAAGATTTATATTTATATTGCTAGTTAACATGCTGTTGTTTTATCTAACTTTTTTTGTTATCTAACAGCCCTCTTCTCAGACATACCTTTGTTTCTGACCAAATTTCATCATGCAGGGTAATATATGTATTGATAGATTGGTACCGTCCATTGTTTTGTAAATCCAATTAGTATTTAAAGAATAACAAGAGGGAATTATACTTTACAAAGAGCTATGGATTGGCACAGATACTTGACTATTTTTTATCTTAAAAAGTCTTTTTCCTGTAATGTCCAATTGCCTAAGAGCTACCTAATATTTTACATATATCCACAAAAGAAAATTCACATCATGTGAGTTTATACCTTCACTAATAATCAATGCTTCTTTTTCTCTGAAAGAAACAATTTTACTTAATCCTACCTAGTCTTTCATACTCACAGTTCCTAAAGCAATCATTAGGTTTCACTGTTAATCCAAATACAAGATTTTTTAAAAGTCTTATTACTATTTGCCCTGCTCATATCCTCAAATATCTTCCCCTCTATTTACCCATTTACCTCTTTAAAAAAAAAAAAAAGTGTTTACTTGTGTGTTTGTCTACCCTGAAAACCCAAACCCACAAACTCTGATGACTAGAACAAAGGGCTCACTCTTTTTGGCACTGTTGTATGAATAATACTTGCTTATTTTATTTTTATTTAAATGTGCTATGTCTTTTGTTCTATGGTTGCACAGCACAGAATCGCCCACCTACTCCACTCCCCTCAAAATGGAAGGTGGCACTGTTTTCTTAAGTTATCCATAAATAGTGAAGCAGAAGAACACATCAAAAGCTGTGCACCCTGGGGATTGCTTATTCTGTTCTACATAGAATTCAGCTGAGTTAACTTTAAAACATTCCTTTTCATTTAAGTGCCCCCTTAAACAGCGTAAATGATAGAGCACCACATAAGCTGCTTACAATTTCGACTGCACATTTTATCAGGAAAGCTATCTATCCCAGATTTCTTCTCTTCAGAAAAATTTTAATGATCCAAGGTCACACCTTTTAAAAAGAATGAGGTCTAGTTTTACATAAGAAGGTCCAACTTGTAGGGTTTTATTTTCTTTTTATGCTCAGACCTCACAAACCGAGGACCGCAGTCTTCAAATAGCCTTCCTTGTTAAAATTGAACTCAGAAAAGGAGGTTAGTCTACCTCAGAATTTTAAGTAAAGCTTCTACAACAAAGTTCAGTGTTCCAAAGCTTTAAATAAATCTGAATTAAAGCAGCACTCCATCACTAAGGTGTTTAAATTGGGTTGCTAATCCCCTTACTCTTGAAACAGAGCCTGGCATTCTGGGGGAAAGCAGTGTAGACCTAGGATTGCTTCTCATAGTCGGAGCCTCAGACCACCTGCATCACCATCACCCGTAGTGCTTACTCAAAGCAAATTCCTAGGCCCGTCCCAGTCTGACTGAATCAGATTCTCTGTAGGCAGGCCGAGTACCTGCACCACTGACACATTCCCCAGGTGATTTTTGCCTCCACCACAGTTTAAGAACCACTGCTGGGCATCCATCACTGTGGCCGAAGGAGTCCAGCTGGCATCACCTCTTAACCTCTTAAATTCTTCCATTTCAGGAGACTGGTGCTTTTAAGTTGAACCTTACCACCACTTTGAGGCCAGGATTATGCTAAGAAGATTAAGGTCCCTCCGAATATTCAGAACTTTTGTCTCCCTGCTGTCAGCAACCAAGGAAGCTGGCAAACGCTGGTCTCGCACAGTAACATTTAGTGCCGGTCAACACACCGTATGGGCTAACATCTGAGCCCAGAAATAGGAAAGGCGAGTATAAATAGATTTGAATTGGGGTTGGACAAGGATTTGGCAGGCAAAAAATGACTCTGTGTTGATGGGGTGGGGAAGGATAGCTGCCAATTCAGGGATCCGTGGTGGAGGAGCTTCCTGACCCCTGTCCACCCCAGAAGCTAGAGGTTCCTGTATGGTCTCTGGACTTCTGAGCCTTTGGCTATAATTAGGGAGGTTACTGCTTTTCCTGGCTTCTTCCATATGCATGTTAGTTGTGTTTGGCATTAAGCAGCAGTGTTTGAAGAGTGTCTGGCCCCCACTAGCATTTAGTTGAGCCAGTCACTGGAAAAAATGACAATGGTATCTGGCATAGAATTCAGGTGCTAAAATACCTTTATTAAAATAGAGGAAATGGCACCTATTAGGAAGTGACCCCGAGCTACTAAGTTTTATTAGACTGAGAAGAGGTGTTTCCCCCAACCCCTTTGAAGCATATTGTAAATTCCCTTCTGTCTTTCATGGTATTTAACTGCAAAAATGGGTGCATTCAGTAATTTCAGATTTTCAGTGCTATTTTTATTGCAACTCATTTTGTGTAGTATCAGGGAATACCGAGCTGTGACTTGGCATGTTTCAATAAAACTTTTTGTACATATTTAGCTAAAAAAGAAAATTTGATGGGGTAGGAGAGAGAGTCAACACTACTGGCAATTTCCCATTAGCAGTGCAGGAGGTAAAAGTCTAAAATAAAGCCTGTGGGAAAAGTCTGAACATGGCATCCAAGCTTAAAAGAAATGACATTTCCCTTTTTTCATCCTGAGGTGGGAGAGAAGACTTGACAGAAGTGAGTGAAACCTCACTCAGTAATATTCCTCTGAAGCCAGCCCTGATGTCAGCAGTGGGCATGTTAACCAACGGATGAAGTGGGCCATGTCCACCCTCCACAACTCTATAAAACCACTTTAAAGTTAGCACGAGGTGCTGGCTCTCCCCTTTTCTCAATGAAAAGCATACTTCTTGATTAAAAATATATGTTTCTACTTTATGCCAAAACAAGACAGCATTATTTTCAAGATGATCATAGAAACCAAGTTAAATGTGTTTCTTATTTCAAGAGATAAAAAAGCATCGCAATGGTGAAGAAACATTCAGTGCTGAATGTTGGTTTAATGTAGCCTACTATGCACGTAATTTATTTTGAAACACAGTGATGTATGAAAATCTTCAGCATTCTTGACAGAATGAGATTACACATCCATCTCCCTCTATGCTTTAAAGAAAAAAAAACCTTGACTTAGCCTGCCAATGTTACAAATAATAACTGCGTATGTCTGCATTGTAATACTCCTCCTGTTATTTCCACTTTCAGAGATAGTAATTCCTGGGATAATTTCATTCATAAAGGGTTCCCTTAGGAGTAAGGTGGGTGGTCAGAAAAAGATATTGAAGATAATTTGTAGTCCTGTTGGACAAATTCTCAACTCAGTTTGATTCTCCCTTGTCACTTAGGAGACTAAGGACAGTTTGAATGTAGATGGGAGAGACAATGTTTAGGGGATGCAGGTAGCTCCTTCTGAAGAGGGTGAGCTATTTTAGAGGGCAACAGGCTCAATGGGAATGCATACATTTATTTGGAAGCTTTTTTGAAGCTTGAGAAGAGAGGGATTACTGTCTGACCCTGGAAACTTCAGTTAGTAGATAATATTTTTCCACCCTTCACCTTTTCTTCTGAAGCATGGAGCAGAGATTATGGGTGAATTATATGGTGTGCAAAATAAAGGGAGATATGAGGAGAAACAAACCAACAAAAGGGTTTACTGTCCATGATGGAACAAGGCAACTTCTTAATTTTAGCTACTTAATTACTCTTGAACAATATTAAAGATGAGTGTCATTTTGACATTCTGGGTTTTAAGAATACTTTACAGAATATATTCATACATAAACACAAATATACAGCCATATTCCTCTGGACGTTTTCTCTTCCATGTAACTTAATAGCTTTTTAAATCATTTCACATAATTAGCAGCTTACCTAACCATCATTTGACAATTAAAATCTCTATCAGCAGATATTTCTTTCTTTTAATGGTTTGATTAACCTAGACCCAAGAGGTATCTATTGAGTCATTAAGGTTTAACTTTGTTTAATTTAGGTTTAGCATTAAAATACATATTATAGCAGAAAAAAATTTTCAAAATTATTAATCCATTAATGATATTCAGAATAAATCTTTATTAGAATACTTGATTAAACAGAATAATGCATAGCCCAACTACTCTAGACAATACATTTTTTTTCTGTAATAATGCCCTAAAAAGACAGATGGTAATATTAGATTATGTACCAAGAATAGCTAAACTGTAAAATCTTGTGCAGAGACATTAATATGTAAAACCTTAGAAATATGGAATTAATTAACTTATTTATTAAGTATTTATTTAGTATCCACTATGTGCCTTGTAATATATCAAATATTAAAGAGTACCCGAGAAACACATGGCATTGTTCCTTTCCTCAAGAAATTTCTAACATACATCATATAGTCATATTAATAGCCAAAGAAAAGCACATTATAGAATGTAATCAGAGCATAAAACGTAACACCTAAGCAATATAAATAGCCAAATCAGCAGATAGAGACCCTGGTCCAGAAAGGAGAGGAAAAAATAGTTGTTTTATTTACTAGTAGCATTATTGTTTTCAAACCAACAGTACCTACAAATTGTGGTAATTCACAAGTGAGTATACAAATGTATACATGCCTTGCCAATATGTTTTCAAGCTTTGCACAACTCACTCTTAAGTTCAGTTTCAGCACACATCCACACAATATGTCTTATGTCAAGGCCAAAAATACTCCAGAAATCAAATATTAAAATTATGCATCTCATGGTAGTGGACAGAAATTGTCTTTAAAATTTTGCATTCTGAAAAATCATAGATATAAAAACCTTTCACTTCTTCATTTACGAACAGCCAAACTCTTTCTCAGATTGAGTACCCTGGGCATGGAAAATTGCTAGACTATTGGTTTGGAATATTTCTGGGACTGGTGCTGTGCTACCACTACTACTACCCAGGCATAATAGGCACTGCTAGTTCTTTAGTTATAGTTATAGCTGCTAGGAGTCTTTTAATAGGTTATTTAGAAAAAAGAAAAGAGGACAATTGACCCTGGGTGGTTTTCAAATGGTGCTATTACTGGTTTGTTTTCATAGATTGGCAGTACCCTATAAGAGGCAATGTTCAAGAAATAAAATTACAGCTGTATTAACAGCTTCAAATTAGGGGTGTTTTTTTCAAATCATTGTGCAGGTTTTAGTGGCACAAGAATGAGTGATGTTAATTGGGCCTTCTTCCTGAGAAGGCTTGAGGAAAACTCTTCAGCCCAACAGAAGGAAGGGGAAACCAGGACAAGAGCCACATTATCATTTTCTGAAATTGCTTGTCAGTATCTGACAAAAATCTTATCATAATTTTTATTCAAAGAAATAAAATGCTGAGAGCTGGTCCTCTGCCATAGAGCAATAGAGTTTAGATATCTCACTTTGGAGGAAAATCTTCAGAAGCTGAACTGCCCCAGGTTCTTGCATAATAAAATGATCTTCTGAGAAGTTGACTAGCATATTTTGGCTATGAGCATCAGAAAATACCACAAACAAAATATTGGTGTAGCTTCTAAAACACTCAGGCTGAATATTAAAAGCATCTGTTTTCAAGGAATATAATTATAAAGTACTTGAAGTGAATCAGGAGGCAGGATTCACAAAACATCAAACATGTCATAAACAAGCCATTTGACTCATCCAAATACTATGGGTAATAGATGGACTGCTGATTTACAAAGGAATACTTTCATTGAAGATTCTGACATCAGAAACCATGACGGCAAGGGTCAAATGCCTTCTGATGTCATTCTGGGATGAATAAATTCTGGGCCATTTTTTGAAGTAGTTTGATATGTTTTTAAGAAACATGTGAACAAAGATAGCCTTAATATTTTATAATCTGGCGAATTCATGCAGTCAAGACCATTCCAACAAAGAATGTGGTGATGGTGAGCATTAGAATATATTATACACCCATGAACTGTGGCCACACTTTATCTGTAAAAGGGCATTAACTGTCCCTCAGGAGTGAAAGATTCAAATGAGCTAAAATACAAAGTATCTCCTTTGTTTTTATTTGCACATATCAAAAGCAAAAAAACTTCATTGTGGACATTATGAAGTCAAATGTAATTCATAATGGTACTGCTGTTTTGTGAAAGGAGAACAGACAGAATCCACTTTCTAAGATTAAATTGAAACTTCCTTCTCCAAATGTTAAGCTAAAATTATGGGCAAAATTCTTTTCTCACATTTGCATCACGGGACTTAAGCCTGTTATTCTTTCCTCCTACAAGACAGACTCCTGGGAGTCCTACATACTTATCAGGAGCAAATATTGGATTTGACATCTGCAATATACATCTTTGTAGAATTTTGTCCCAACTCAAAATACAAGCTTGCTTTTTATTGTTCTCTTGAGGTCTTAGAAAAGAGTTTGTCTTTTTACTGTCTCAGAAATGATATTAATTTTCAG
The DNA here is from genome assembly GCF_000001405.40 of Homo sapiens. Lineage (NCBI taxonomy): Eukaryota > Metazoa > Chordata > Mammalia > Primates > Hominidae > Homo > Homo sapiens. Next base: position 89,083,203 of record NC_000005.10, on the reverse strand, counting down.
AAAGAAAGTCTCTGAAAGCATTAATCCCATAGGAATATGTTGAGTAACATCATTTTACCCTACATATACATTCATAAACTTTGTACTACTTAGAAGAGAAAGCAGGAAGGGGGAAGATAAGGAAAAGGCGAGGAGGATGAAGAATGATATATTGTGAAAAGAAGAGGTCACTAGGTGTAAAAACTGCATGCTTCCAAAAGCAATGGAATTCTAGGGTTAGCATAACCTGATGTACTCATGGGGAGCAATTGCTAAAATTACAGACTGAAACGAGTATTGAAGCTTTATGTTCTCTTTATAAAACTCTCACTCTCCTTTTTCACTCATTTAATATGCTTTATTTGACAGCTGATTGGAGTATTTGACCCTGACAGTTCTCTTCACAGATGGAATGTTAAGCCTGAGAACCTTTAGCCAGCTACATAAGACCAGCCTTGGGACCCAGTGACATCTTTGAACTCTGGCTCTTTCCTCGAGCTTGATTAGAGATTTCATCCTGACTGCCAAAGGGAATGGGAACCTTTAATGAGAAATGGTGTTTTGCGCAGGAGCCACTGATACAGGAAAGAGAGGGACTCTACAAATTAGAGGCTAACTTGACTGAAAAGCTATAGGACTGAAAAATCACTTTACAGGACTGCACCATTATAAATCATCATATAATTATGTATGCAATATATAAAATGAACATAAAGCATATGGAGAATAATCTTCATAGATATTGTTAATATGAATCTTAAATGCCACCATAAATGTTTTGCTACCTCAAACTCATAGTGCTATAAGAGTGAATCAATGAAAATTCTGCCATTTGAAAAAGGACAATATATGTACCACATCTTATGTTATTTAATGTTCTTTTCACTAAAAGAACAATTTTGGTTTTGATATGCAAAGTTTCTTTTGGGGGAAATGTATTTCTATTGGTGTTATTTTACTTGTACTATTTTTCTGATTTTATTAATATGTAGAATAGCTGAAAAATAAAATTCTTAAAGGAAAAAGTGCAAATGCTTTCTGTAAAGCATACCCTCTGAACTCTGGTAGGTATGCCATTAAATGTAAGTTTGCCTTGTTTAGTTTGTTGGTCTTCTCTCCTGAGAAACAGCTGGCTTAAAATTAAAATTATGAACAGGAAATCCAAACCATTCAACTAATCTGGTGGATATTATTTAAAAATTAATAAATTATCCATGGGATTAGTTGTGAAATTTGATTAAATTTTTCAGTAAAGGAGATCCATCAAATTATTGTACAGGTCTCCATTAAGTCATTCTAAATTATTCTATATGTTTCTGGGATATAATTAGATATGTTTTCTGTGTACATGAGGCATTACAATATTTCAGTCACAGTCACAATTTCTAAAGAGACCACCAAATCACTCATGGGAGAGAAGCCTTACTTGTTGATCAAGCTTTCTTTGAACAGTGGCTAATACACAAGATAAACTTGGAACCATATTATTTGTTATCTCTATCAGGATTTCAATGCTTGATCCATTCAGGAAAACCAAGTTCAAGGTTTTATAAAAGCTCAGTCATAGATTACATGGCCTGCAACATGAAAAAACCCTGCAGGAAACTGTTAGGTGGCAGCATGGCTCTTTTTCACCTGGCTGGTTATTCTAGCAAACTGATTACCCCCATCACTGCACAGAAGGCAAATTTGTGCTGTGGTCTCTATCACTGCCCTAGTTTTTCTTGTTTCTCTTTTCTGCGTTTCAATCGAATGCACCACTGAGACACTCTTCTCTTTACCTTTCTTACAAGTTGTCTTTTCTTTGTTCAGAAAACATAGATATGCTCCAGGAATACTAGATGTTTACTGTAGTTACTCATGCAGGCTGAGTATTTTTAAGGCAAAGAAACTGGTGTTTTTAAAAAGATCTCTATTTTAATCCAATCCACCTCCAGTGCTACAAAATGCAATACAAAAATGTTTGTTTTAAATATTTAGCAGTTACCAGTTAAACTAAAGAATCAAGGCTCAAAAATAAAAAGATATAGACTTGATAGCATATTGGACCAACATAATTAATTTTAACTTTTAATTATAGTTAAGTGTGGGAATCCCACATAGTCATAATTCAACAGTTCTCCACATTTTATATGCCTGATCACATTCACTTTGTTATTAGCATCGTGCATAGGATTCTTTCGGGTGTTTGTGTTTGCTTGTCACCTAAAATATAAGCTATCTCTCCTAGCTTTTTCTCATATGCAAATTTCATCAGCTTTACATCAACATTTTGTCTATGAAGGGGTTTGGGGAAAACCAGATGACTTGTGTGCATGTGTTTACACACGTATACACATATACATTCATCTTGAGAACCACTATATTTTTAAGATTCTTAGACATCTTTTAATGAGTTTTTTAAGACAAGTGCAATGAAGAAACAAAGGTGTTAAATATCTTGAGCAACCCTATAAAGGTGTCTGAGCTTCAGTACACTGACGATTCTGCAAAACCAATGAGTTCTTTCAGACTTCTGACAATGCACCAACTCGTCTCTCTACATCTGTGGTGATGCACATCCTCCTTTCCAGCCCCTACTTACCCTTTCCTCAGAGGTCACTCTTATTCTGAATTGTGTGTTACCTATCTGCCTGCTTTATCACACATGTGCATACATTGTTTGCTTTCACTTAGTTTTGAATGTTATAAACAGGTATCATACTGTCTGCATTTTTGGACACTTGTTTATTTCACTCAAGATTACATTCTTAAGATTTATCTGTGCTATTGTGTGTAACTGTAGATCAAGTTAATGTTTACTGCTGTGTAATATCCCATTATGTGACTATATAATAAATTTTTATTTATTATTCCACTAATGGTCTTTCAAGTTCTCTTCCCCATTTTTTGCTTTTATGACACTTCACTATGAAAATTCAAGAACATATAGAAATTGGATACCTGGGTCACAAGATAAATGTTAAGCCTCACAAAATAATGCCAAATTGTTTTCCAATCTTTTAATCTGTATTTTTCAATTACCCTTACAGCGAGTAGGTAAGTAACATTAAATGGAAATTTGAATAGATTACATATGACTATGTCATTTGAATAAATAGTAAATGAATATAATGACATTCTCAAAACATATAAAAGGATACACAATGAAACTTATGTCCCTTTTCATTTCTATCCCTTAATCCTTCATGTCTCCTCTTCAAAGACATGCCTTGCTACCAATCTTAAATAAACTATTCTTTAAAAATCTTTAATGTCAAGACATTGTTTGGGCATGAATTCGATTTTTTTAAACATCCAAATATATTTAGGACCAATTTGAGTAATAAGTAAGAATAACATTTTGAGTCAAAATTGAGTTATGTCTAAAAAATAATGACTTGATGTGATAAGTGGTATCTATTGAAAAGTTACAGCTGACAACATACTTAATGGTGAAACACTGGGTGCTTCACCCATAAGATGGAGAATAAGGCCAGGATGTCCACATTCACAACTACTATTCAATAGTGGACCAGAAGTCTTAGCCTGTATAATATGACAAAAAGGTGAGGAAAAGCAAAGGCAGAAAAAGAAGTAATAAAACTATTTCTATTCACAGATTACATGCATATTTACAGAGCCAGTCTTAAAGAATCAACAGGAAAAGAAGAAAAACTACTGGAACTAACTTACAAGTGAATTTAGCAAGTCTCATATTAAAAGCCAATGTATAAATAAAACCCAGTTTTATTTCAATCTACTAGGAGCGAATGATTGGAAAGTTAGTATTAAAATGGTTTTATTTATATTAGCACAAAATATTTAGAAATTAATTTCAGCAAAGATATATAAGACTATATTGAAAACTAAAAAATGCTGCTTAGAGAAGTTAAAGAAGACATAAATAAGAAGGCCATTAACATGCCTATGGATTAGAAGATTTAATATTTGTGACTCTTTTAAAATCAACTTATAAATTTAACTTTATCTCCATGATAACCCTATTAGGTTTTTTATATAAGTTTACAAGCTGATTTTAATACTTATATGAAAATGCAAATGACTACAAATGGCCATAACAACTGGAAAAAGATTTTAAAAATTGGAGGTCTTACACCACTTGATTCTAATACCTACTATAAAGTTACAGTAAAAAAACCGGAATAGTACTGGCACAAAAATGTACAAATAGATTGACAGAACAGAATAGAATCCAAACTGGAAGCAATTTTATACAGATAATTGATTTTTCAATCAAGGCACCAAAGCAATCCAATGGGGGAAAGGCAAATCTTTTTAACAAGTGGTGCTGGAACTTGATATTTACATGAAATTTATTTATAAGAAAATACTTGTCAAATACTCAAGTATTAACTAATCATAGTGTATTTGTCAGTCATATTTCAGGTAACATGGTGTTCCATTCACTTGCAACTCGGTCAATAGCACAACTACGTTTCTTCAAGACAGCCATGGTATTTCAGGATGCAGTAGGCGTGCTTTACATGTACTTTCCATTTTGTCACACAGTGTTAAAAAGTTACATACTCAAGGATAAAGACATAATAAAGTTAATAATTTATATTGCTTTACCAAGGGCAGTATTTAGAGGAAACTAATTTATTTTTCTTGTGTGTGGCAGTATCTACTATTACAGTTTGGTGTCACTGTCTTTCTGCTAAGATTTCAGCAGTTTTCCCAATCATTACTTTTGCAGCATCCGCGTAAATGTCAACACTGTGAAAAAGGCAATAACATCCTACTACTATCGTGAAAATAGCATTGACAATGCAGTCTCCCTAAAAAGTCAAAAGGAGCCCCCTCAGGATCCACAGACCGAACTTACAGAACTAATGATTAGATGATTGGTTGGTAGATAGACAGATAGAGATTCAATTAATTGAAATCATTCAGCATATTGAAAGATCTATTATTAAGTAAAGATATTACTATGTATCCAGCCCCTTATGCAGAGAATGCAGAGAAACAAATGCCCATCCACTCTCATCCTAGTTTGTTTAGAGAAATCCAAGTCTACATTTTTCTATTTTCTAAATCAGTTGGAAAGAAAACAAATTTTCATAATGATATACATACATACATATGCACATATGTATACATAGGTATAGACATAGATGTTATACATGCATATATAATAAATGGGCAGCTTGAGTTTTTACCATGATGGTTTTCAATAATATAAAGTATAAAATGTTCTTAGACTGAGCACTTCAGTTGGATTCCACACTATGTAGCAAGGTTGAGATGCAGCTTTAGCCACTAAAACTAGCCAAGACCTTGTATCTTACTGCTCAGAGGCTAAATTCCATCCAGCCCAAACTGTGACCATATCACTGAGAGTCTCACTGTAGCATATCTAATTGTGCTACACTATATTACTGAGGAAATATGAGACTATTATATTTAACTCTTTGATTTCTTAAGTGAAAAATTTTGTGGGAGAGATGCTAAAGGGGAGAGAAATTTGCCAAGACAGGCTTTTAAAAGACACAATAATTAGCTAGAGACACCACTCCTTCCCCAGGACTAACGAAGGACAACAATCAATCTTGGTATATCATGTGGAGAAAAAAATGTGCCCTTTTAAAATATTTCATAGCTCTCTGCAATTTTTAGTTCTCATCTGCCAGGCAACATAATAACATTCCTTCCCACATGAGTCCACATTAGGTCAAATATCGATTTTCGAGCTAGATGAATAAAATAAAACATTTGTGAAAGAGCAAAATATCAGTCACATCTAGCCAGCCAGATATTATAAAATATCAAGTAGTCGACATTTAGATTCTTTAATGTTTAGACTGTCAGTTGTAAGACCACTGCAAATTTAAACCAAGCCTCCTCTCATCAGTTTCCTGTTATATTTGAAACAGTTATTCTGGAAAAAAAAAAAAAAACAACCCTGATGTTACTATCTTCATTTTCCTATGAGGTCACAGCCAGTCTGCCTACCTTCTTTCCTTCTCAAAATTTTTTTGAGCACCTACAATGTGCCAAATAGACCTGTAATATCTCACAGCATGGTATTATGCCTCAATGTGCTTGGCTTATCTATAGAAGTGATTAGGGAATCTTTGGGAACCAATGCAACAGAAACTGTACCCATAATACATAATTACCTAAGACAGCAACAACTTATTTACTATAATTATGAGTTTTCGTCCAGTCTCAGCTATCTTTTCTCCTATTGTGTCCCAACTTCTGTGCTGATGATTGTGTGCTGTATTTTTTAATATCTCATTTTATGATGTTACTTTGGTATCATGTAATTTCCTGAATTTTACTCAATTCCACTCATTTAACAACATTGACTATTCACTTTGCAAACAGTTTACTCTCTTTGGTTTGCTGTATTTATTGCCATCACTGAAATTTTGACTTACTTATCATCTTCTGCCATATTTATAAAACACACGTAAATCTGGGAAGACAGTCTAGCATAATGTTTAAGTAAGATCTTGGACTCTGAAGCCAGTCTGCCTGAGTTTGGATTCCAACTCAGTCATGTCCTAGCTTTGGGGCCATAGACAAAGCCTAACCTCTCTAAATCTGTTTTCTCAGCAGAATGGAGATAATCACAGTAACTCCTTCAAAGAGTTACTTTAATATTAAATGAGATAACGTACACAAAGCACTTAGCATAGTACTTGGTATATGGTAAGAGGAAAACAAATATTACTCCAATGAAATTAATACGTAAATAGATTACATTTGTCCTAAATTCACTCATTATCTTGATTGCTATAGGTTAATTAGTACACTTCCCACTTTCATTCATTACTAATAATTGTCATTCTTGCCTGCTAACTTTTAGACTGGAACTTCCACCTTCAGCTTTCCTGGGTCTCCAGTTTGCTAACTGTAGGTCTTAGAATTTGTCAGCCTCCATAGCGTGTAAGTTAATTCCTTATGATAACCTCCCACCCCCTAACCTTTTTGTTTTCACTCTCGCTCTCTTTCTGCATGTGTTATATATATTTGCATCCTATTGGCTCTGTTTCTCTGGAAAACCCTAAATAATACAGGTGGGAATGAGGGCAAACTGTAGAGTGCATGCTTTGCTCCAGCTGATGGCTTTCTTGCAAGAATGGTGACCCAATGCTGCCAGATAATGTGTCAAAAGAATACAGAAATCAAAGAGTTTTACTATCTCAATTTTTAAATATTGGCAATAAAGTTAAATAAAGCATAAGCACATCTCATCAGCCAATCAAAACACGTTTAGAGACCACAGATATCCCAGGATCTCTCATTATTTACCTCTGCTTTAAATAGGAGCCATTCGAGTTTTCCTGAGCAAGATTATTATTTTTTGTTATTTTTATTTTTTGAGATGGAGTTTTGCTCTTGTTGCCCAGGTTGAAGTGCAGTGGCGTGATCTCAGCTCACTGCAACCTCCACCTCCCAGGTTCAAGCGATTCTCCTACCTCAGCCTCCGGAGTAGCTGGGATCATAGGCATGCGCCACCACGCCCAGCTAATTTTGTATTTTTAGTAAAGATGGGGTTTCTCCACATTGGTCAGGCTAGTCTCGAAACCCGACCTCAGGAGATCCGCCCCTAAGCAAGATTATTCTTATGTTAGCATATGGAAAGAAAGAAAAGAGAAGCATACAAGGGCTCAGAGACCAGTTAAGAGGTTCTTGCCACAATGGAAGTTCAAATGATAAAGTCCAGAATAGTGTTTTAATAGTGAGACTACAAAGGAAGGAACACCTGAGAGATGTAGAGGGAACAGACAAGAAGGAGGAAAGAAATTCACCATTCCAAGGATCAGGCTAAAGATTAGGCTGTTGGCAGAAGTATTCCTTCTCCTGGTGTTGCAACAGTGACTTACATTTCATTTCTTTGACCAAAAAAAAAAAAAAAAAAAGAGAGAGAGAGGAAAGTTTGTTCTGTGAAGTACATGCTTTTATTGAGGTAACACTAATTAATGTAATAGATATGCTTGGAAAGTTCAATAACCTAAGAAATAACTTCAGCGCTTACTCATATAACAGTCCTATATGGCTGTAGGATAAGTATGTTCTGCACAATGATTCAGGGATCTAGGCTTCCTTCTCTCGAAGCTACACCACATCATAGGGCCTCTGGGTCCTTCACTCAGTTCAACAGACAGGTAAAAAGCCTGGAGGATCAAGCAGAGAGTTTCTGATGAGCACCATCTGGAGGTAGAGCACATCAGATCTGCCCACCTTTTATGAGTAGAACTTCATCACAAGGTCATACCTTACTATCAAGGTGGAAGAAGAAAGAAATTTTATAAACAGCCAACCAGCTGGTCATACTAGTATAAGCATTTATCCTCCCTCTTTGAGCTCATTTTCTCAACTATAAAATGAAAAGTTTGGATTTGGTACTTTTTGAGATTCAATTTAAGTTTTTTACTATTTGAATAGAAGCATTTTAAGGCAATAAAGAAAACACTAGATGTGTTTTCTTTCCTCCATTTTAAAATCTATAGAAGGTTTTTTATTTACGAATTTTTTTCCATTGATTGTTTCATATTATAATACTTTCGTTAAGAAGATACTTTCCAATTACAGCTAGACTCAGCTTAGCCTTTGACAAATCATGAACCACTGCCATAAAAGCAACAGTGTTAATGAAATGTTATGACCTTCTTTGGTTAAAAAAATTCAAAGCCACATGATATATTAAAAGCATTGTATCCACTACATGGCAAAGCTGTTATTTTCTAGATACTTGGACTGAAACAAAGATTCTTTTAATGCTGATTTACAGCTGGATAACAAGAAATAAAAATCTCACTGGCCATCTCATAAACAGTCTCCTAGTTAGTGCTGATGGGTCACATCTTCATAACCATCTTAGTTCTGATCAGAGTGAAGGTCACCACATGGACCTGTCCTTTCTTTATACCCCTCTGAACCAAGTCCAAGATGTATTACTCTTGCAAAATGACTGATGCCACTAGTTTTAGGATGGCACTCCTCAAAGGTCTCCCTCCAGTCACTGTACTTTATCTGACTGTACATAATTTTTATCCTTGATGATGACTTTTTCCTTATTTAGCACATTAATATTCTGGCTTCTACTATATTTTCTTCCACTACCAGTCAGTAGACCACCCACTCTACTAATAGAAAGAAATCTTTTTTAAAAAACCTGTACCTTTGAATGATAGGACATTTATGGAATAATGTTATGTTTTTTTCTTAAGATAACACCTTATAACATTGTTTTAACTGATGAAAAGCAATGTTCAAATGATATATTTCATGACATTTTATTAGCAATTATCATAACACTCATCACATAAAATAGATCGACATCCCACGATATTTCCTTTCTGTATTTCTAGATGCCATAGGTATTCCTATAGTAATGACAGTGAGCATATATAAAAAGATAATGTATTTTTTGACTTTAATTAACACTGAATGAAATTATGCTATGAAGAAATAAAAGATGAACAGCTCTTTCTTTTCATTCTCTTGTTCTCTCTTGTTCATAACAAAAATAATTTATAATTTCAACTTTTCCTGCTGCTTCTCCAATATCCCAATTTTAAAACCCAATCAAAAGATGCCAACATATTCCAAAGTGAGAGAATGCTTTGGATTCTGTACTCCTCCTGTCTTCCTCATCTTTAAGGGATTTTAAGTCTTTTCTTTCCCAAGCTGCCAGTTATGCTGAATTGTTCTGAAATGTGAATGACTTTTTTGTGTAAATACGAGCTACCATCAACTACAGTAACAATGCGAACTTCACACTTGTCATTTACTAAAACCTGCCTTTTGAGCCCTGTCAGTCATGTGCCTCTACATGTGTGTTTCTTGGTTGGAGCAGCGTTGTTTTGTGGCAGCTTCTGTTTAGGAATTCATGTCGCTGTTTGGCATTTATGTAGTTCAGCTGTTAGAGAGTCAGGGTAAGAGGAAAGAAAACATGCAGGAGTGAAGGTTTCAGGGGCAAAGCAGGAAATAAGAAGGGGCTTTAGGTTATGAAATAACAATGCCAACCATGTGGCAGCAATAAACCACAGGAACAACCCCTCGGTTTAGGAAAGACACTGCGACGGAAGAACAGATGTAGCTCACACCCATGCTGCTGATGTGGGTGGCCAAGTGCTATTACAAAGGGCAAGTGTTGCATGAAATATTAGCAGTTACATTCACCTTTCAATATTTTTCATTCTTTACAACACTGAGCTTGATTACAATGTGTGCTACTGAGCTTGGATGTGCTTAAGGCGAAGACAAAGAGACTCTGGAAAAGAAGCATACGGATGAGAAGTTAATATTATACTTTGGGTTCTTACTAGAGTTGACAGAACTGTGCGTGATTCATAACGTGGGTTCAAATATGCCCAGAAGTTCAGATATTTATCTAAAATTTATCTGTATAAAACTGCATCCCTTGGGGCTCCTGCATTTTAATGAGAAAATAATAGGAGTAAGCTTTCTCTGGAGTTCTCAAACACTTTGAGCTCCTTATAAGTCTCAAATCACTAGGAAATCCTGAGTTTAGAGATTTGAGGTTCAGGGAGTAAGCTCTTTCGGAATATGTACACAAAGAGTAATGCAAATTAAATTTCACTCCTTTTCTAAATAACTCCAGAAAGGTAATATAGGTTCTCACTCTTGTGTAGCTGACATTTTCTATTTGTGCTTGCCAAAGAAAGAATGTAAATCTCTAGGGATTATTTGGAGGATGTGCCTTATAAATAGAAAGAGGTAAACAGATAGAAGTAAAATAAAAATGCATAGAAGTTAAAAAAATGTTTTCAAAAATCATTGCTTTCCCTCTATAGCTGCTCCCCATCTTTCATTAAATAATTTGTTTTGCAAGTGATGTATTAAAAATTTGTTTTGAAATCTACACTGTAAACAATTGTGTCTCTACTGCAATATGATACATTTAACACATCAGCAAAATATCAATACCTTATTAATATTTCAATATTGATATATTAATATTTTCAATTTTCTTAATAGAAAACTTCTTTAAAACAGCCAGACACAAATGACTGCAAGTAACTAAATGGTTACAGTCATACTTTAAGATATGAGCACAACAAGTATTTATAGCAGATTCTCATTCATTTCCAATTTCATGGGCGCACACACATGTATTCTGGTTTCATTTATACTCACCTATTTTTAGTTGAAAAAACCTCTCAATCTAATAAATGAAATGCTATATTCATTATGACTAAAATTATCTACACAGTGTAGTGTATGTGTACTGATAATGCCCAACAATAAGAATGCTTTGTATTTGTACACAATGAACAGTGCTCTTACACTTAAAATCTCTTCACCTATAATAAAAAAAAAAAACAAAACTGTCAGCCGAGGGTATATACAGCAATTTTCACACACTTATTGTTTCCTTCTTTTTAGTCATTTGCCAAACCAGAAGAAGGGTAAAATAAATTGCCTTTCTTTTCTCTTCTACACTTTAGAAGCTGTATTTCATCAGTTCTTTGTGCCTTCTAACTTTTAAAAAAAATAACAAAGTGGTTAACTTAGGCATCGAGTCAATCAACTTTTGGTTTCAAAAACTCAGCAATGTAACTATTATTAGATGACTAAGAAAAAAATACTAGGTGACTAAGTAAATCTAGTTATTAATTAACACCTCAATGCTTCAAAAAGAGATATGAGTTGGACATGAGACCAGGCAGTATTTCAAGCTTTATATTATGCTGTGCATGGCATGAAACTGCTGACTTTTCTTTTCTGAGAGGGCTGACAGTATATTTCTAACCTACTATTAGAAATAGCATCTTAGAAGATTTACTAAATGAATGCTACAAAAAAATAACAAATTAATATACAGCCATGGGTCTTACTTCTAAAAATGTTTTAAGCACCCATATGGGCAGCACAATAGCAATAATACAGAGATTAGCATGGCATTTGTACATGGACGATATGTAAATGTGTACAGTCATCCACATTTTTCAGTAGATACCAGCAGCCAGGGAATGTGGGTCAGCGTAAAGACTACAAAGGGGCACAGTGAAAGTTTGGGGTGGTAATGGAAATGTTCCATATCATGATTCTAGTAGTGGTAATATGACTGTATACATTTGTTAAAACTCATCAAATTGTACTCTCAAAATTGGTGAATTTTATTTTGTGTAAGTTATAGCTCAATAAAGCTGACAAAAAATGTTCTCAAATACTAAAAAAAAAATTGTGAAAAATATATTATTTCTCCCATCCATCCCATGTACTAAGTGGGGAAATAAAATTTCATGGAAAGCACCACACGTTCTCAATTATAAGTGGGAGCTGAACAGAGAGAACACATGGACACGGGAGGGGAACAACACATACTGGGGCCTGTCAGGGGGTGGAGTAGGAGAAGGGAGAGAGCATTAGGAAAAGTAGCCAATACATGCTGAGCTTAATACCTAGGTGATGGGTTGATAGGTGCAGCAAACCACCATGGCACACGTTTACCTATGTAACAAACTTGCACATCCTGCACATGTACCCCAGAACTTATAAGGAAAATAAAAATTAAAACAAACAAAAAGTTCATAAAAAACACAGGGACTTTCTCCTTCTATTCTTCTGTTTGAAGAATTCAGTCACGGCAGAAGCAGTCGGTTTTAAGTTAATTTATCAATCTCTGACAACCAAATAAAAATTCACCATATTTGGATACAGAAGTAATTATTTCAATGTAATATCTAATAAACTAGATATTAAACTAAAGCAAATGTTTAGAAAACATGTAAAATTGAATGATCAGTAATTGATAATGTGCTGCTTCTCAAAAGCAAACAAAATATATTGAAATCTTTTGCCCTTTTTTGATCAGATTATCAGATTTTTTTTCCTATTATAGAGTTGTTTGAGCTCCTTAGATATTCTGGTTATTAATTCCTTGTCAGATGGGCTTCATGGACTGTATGCTAAACTTAAAATTTAAAATATCATGTCCATAAACATTAAAATGAATAAAATTCTTCGGTCACTAAAAAAAGGAAACAAAATACTTTAAGAACAATATCTTTCCTCAAGGTAAATATTATTATTCGACTTTTGATCATAAAAATCTATTTTTCTTTCTCTAACCACTCATCAGATTAAAACTTAAAACAAATATATATGTTCACATGTTATGCACAGAAAATGTTATGTACAAAGAATATGTATATAGGACTGCGTCTGTCTCCAGTATATTCACAACAACAGAAGTTTTTGTCTTTTTTCTCTTTAGACTTTTTTTTTGCATGTCAATCTGATGAGATGGGAAAAATGAAGCTGGAAAAGAAAACAAAACTGAAGCTAAAGACAATAAAGAAGATTGATTAAACCCACATTATCAAGTAAGTGTCAATAGCAAGGAGCTACTGGGATCCTGCACTCTTTTTCTCTGAACTTTTAGCCTTATGTCCATCAAGCCTCAAGATAACTATCCATCATGGAGTCAACGTGGCGAACAACTGTGTGGTCCTTTGATAAGGGACAGTGTCACAATTTGTCTCCTTCTCTTCCCACAGATCACCACTAACAGGGCAAGGCCAGGCCACAACAGCTGCAAATAACCCAAAGACATTCCTTAGTGTAAAATAAATTCTCAGCAAAATTGTAGAACAGAAATCTAAGCAACCTTCAAAAATATCTAAATTCAATGATTATTTACTTGGATGTCTCATGTCAATTATATTTGTTCTTTTTCTAAATACCAGTTTTGATGAATCCAAGTTTTAAGTATAATTAAATAACAGGATTGTGATACATTAGAAATGTGCTGATGTTAACCATCCACTGACAGTTACAATGTAGCATGTACAAAATCTGAGTAATATTTAAAATCTGTAATTGGACTATGCTGTCATTTATGCAATGCCTACAAGGAGGTAATTCATGCATTTCGATGTATGATAGGACATCTATGTCACTTAAAAACAACACAATTTAGTAAAGTTCCAGCATACAAAATCACCATACAAAAATTAGCAGCATTTCGAAATACCCCAATAGCGAACAATCTAAAAAAGAAATCAAGAAAGCATTCCATTTACAATAGGTATAAAATAAATAAAATATTTAGGAATAAACTTAGCCAAGAAGGTAAGAGATCCCTACAATGAAAACTGTAAGATTTTGATGACAGAAATTGAAGAAGACATAAATGGAAAGATATTCTGTATTCATGAATTAAAAGAATTAATATTGTTAAAATATTGATATTATCTCATGGATCTACAGATTCAAGGCAATCTTCATCAAAATACCATGGTATTCTTCAAAGAAATAAAAAAAAATCTTAAAATTCATATGTAAATGCAAAATACCCTGATTAACCAAATCAATCCTGAGCAAAAAGAATGAAGCTAGAGGCATCACACTACCTGACCTCAAAATGTACTTTGAAGCTGTAGTAACTGAAAAAGCATGACACTGGCATTAAAAAGTGATAGCTATGGTAACTACCCTGATTTGATCATTATGCAATGTACACATGCATTGAAACATACACTGTATCCCATAAATATGTACAATTCTTATGTATTAATTATAAATAAGAATTAATTAATAATTTTTAAAAGAAGAGCTATACCCAGCCTTCCCTCCAAAAAAACTCTCAGCCTAATTAATGAAGAATGCTTAGTATCCTAGAAAATGACTATGGCATAATATTAAGAGAAAGAAAGAAAAACTTTAAAAATATTAGTTATGATTAAAATTATGTTAAACGGCCAGGCACGGGGGCTTACGCTTGTAATCCCAGCACTTTGGGAAGCTGAGGCAGGTGGATCACTTGAGGTCAGGATTTCGAGACCAGCATGGCCAACATGGTGAAATCCTGTCTCTACTAATAATACAAAAATTAGCCAGGCATGGTGGCACATGCCTGTAATTCCAGCTACTCTGGAGGATGAGGCAGGAGAATCGCTTGAGCCCAGGAGGCAGAGCTTACAGTGAACCGAGATTGCACCACTGCACTCCAGCCTGGTAGATGGAGTGGGACTCTGTCCCAAAAAAAAAAAAAAAAAAAAAAAAAAAAAAAAAATATATATATATATATATATATATATATATGTAAACATATACATGTTAAAAATATGTATATTTGTATAACATATATATGTTAAACATTCACAGAAAAAACTTAGAAGGCTACAAAGTATATCAATTGGTATATTAGAGTACTGAGATTATAGGCAATAATTTTTTCTCTATTTTATGATATTTTTCAGAAATTATTTTACTATTTCTTCACAGTTTTTTCTCTATACACTTGAAAACTTAGCAAGTTTATATTAGGGTTCCCTAAGATAGTGTCAGTAAATATTAGCTTTAAAATAAAGAGCTCTGTATCATCACCAATAGGGAAGAAGTCATCTCAAGCAGACTTGCGATTATCTTACCATGGGCCAGCAGATTTCTGCCTCTTGAGCAGGAAGCAGCTCTATTTAAGGGCAATGAGAAGAAATGCATTCTTAAGCGAGTGTTCTGAGGCCATGTGAGCTACTCTGAGTTCTTCCACTGGAATAGAATAGCGTGGAAATGAAGGAAGAGAATCTAAGATTTTGTATAATTAGTTCAGAACCTCAGAAAATACCCTAGTGTCACCAAGCAAAGGGTTTATTCTTTCCCACCCTGACCACATTTCTCCCCTTAAGCTATTTATTTAGTTAGTTAGTTGGTTAGTTAGTTAGTTAGTTAGTTAGTTAGTTAGTTAGTTAGTTATGACAAAGTCTCGTTCTGTCACCCAGGCTGGAATGCAGTGGCATGATCTCGGCTCACTGCAACCTCCACCTCCTGGGTTCAAGTGATTCTTCTGCCTCAGCTTCCAGAGTAACTGGGATTACAGGTGCCCACCACCATGGCTGCTCATTTTTGTAGTTTTAGTAGAGAAGGGGTTTTGCCATGTCGGCGAGGCTGATCTCGAACTCCTGACCTGAAGCGATCCACCCACCTCGGCCTCCCAAAGTGCTGGGATTACAGGTGTAAGCCACTGCGCCTGGCCCCCTGAAGCTATTTAGTTCATGAGTTCTTTTGCCTACAAATACGCTCTTCGGGTTCATTTTAGACTGATTTTATCTGTGTAAAAATATTTGAGTAGAAAACACTGAGTTTCCCCAGACCCCAAGTCCCTCTCTAGGAAGACACAGTTTCTTAATCCTTACATGTCTTCCAACATTCTCCAGTGGCCGTGTTGTCTGAAGTACATTTTGTTCCTCTTAGATACATCTTTGTGTATTAATTTTTACCAAAATACAGTCATGTGTCAGAGAAATACCGTTAGCTAGTATTATTTTCTGTTCACATTTTTATTGGGAGTGGACAAGGATGAGGTAAAATAAGACCTGTGAACAATGGGACAGTAGATGGGAATAGGGACCACCAAAAAGGAGGAGAAGTTTCCTTGAAGGCGAAGGGAGGAACCCAGCAAATGAAATCTTGCTTCAACCACCATCTGATTGTAGGTGAATCCTGTTGATCCTGGTTAAGAATGTGAACTTCAGAATCAGACCAACCTGGATTCAAATCCTGTCTCTACCACCTAGTAATTTTGAGATCATAAACAAGTTACCCACCCTGCCACAATAGTGTATTTCCTTCAGTGTCCCATAGGAAAGTAATATATACTTCATGAAAATATTTTCAGTAACAGACCAGGTAATTGCGTATTTAACCATGTATAATAAAAACTTCATAAATATTCATTACTATTCTCTTTATTTTCCCTTTTTGTTTTCTTCTGTAAATGAGGACCACATTGTACTCTCTAAATTCACATTTTCAATGAGTTTTCAAACTCTATTAAAAATATCTGATTACCATCACTGTCCCTCTTGATGGTCAGGACTAGATCTCCAAAAGCCATGCTGGCTTCTGAGGATTTTACCTCCTGTGTTGAGAAGATCAGGCCTGTGTTTTAGCTTTTTACGTACATGGCATGGAAATTCTACTCCTATGCTTCTTGGATGAGGAATTTAAACTGCCCATTCCATCCTAATCGGTTACATAATGTAATGAACCCCCCGTATGTGAGCTGTGTGAGAGTGGAGCCACATGCAAAGACCAGTAGAGAAATGGCTGTCTCATCACAAGCCCCCAGATGAGGCCTCTCAAATTCAGAGGGCAAAGCAAAGAGCCACAGACTCAGGAGTTCCCTTGAAGTTCAGTTATGAGTGTAATGAGAGGATCAGGACTGCCACGTCAGCAGACTGTCTTGAATCTAAAGGTTTGCTCAACCTGAAAAACTGCCAGAAATGTTGACTCTTAATTAGCCACACAAACTCCTTAAAAACTGAATAACAAAGAGATTCTAATTGCAGTGTCTTTAGTTTGTCATATATAAACTGTTTGGAAGTCCCAAATTCCAAAACATTATGAAAAAAAAAAACTTCCAAGTGTGTATGGCAAGATATAATTAAAGTGCAATGAAATTGGTGTT
Source organism: Homo sapiens (assembly GCF_000001405.40). Lineage (NCBI taxonomy): Eukaryota > Metazoa > Chordata > Mammalia > Primates > Hominidae > Homo > Homo sapiens. Next base: position 89,065,829 of record NC_000005.10, on the reverse strand, counting down.
TTAAGAAAGGTATTTATTTTTGTTTTTTTAGCTCTATAGGGTTGAATAAAAATAGCCCTAAACAATAATTGTGATGTGTTAATTGCTTTATACCTTCTCATGAAGTCAGGAGAAGTTTTGCTCACTGAAGGACCGTAGGAGAGAGGCCTTTGCTGGAACCAAAAAATGCTACCAGTTATTCCAATTTGATGAGAAAATTAAGTCTGTATTATATGTAATAATAATACATAAGCATGCTCTAACAGCATTTAGCAATACAAGCGTTATTCCTAAGAGTATTTTTAAACATTGATAATTATGAAATTTAGTCTATTATCAAACAGAATGAAATTCCTAATATAAAAAATAAGAAAAATGTGTATCATTTTTTGCTTTGCATTTCAGAAGCCAACGAAGCAAAAATTATTTTCACTAAAGCTTTCCCATTCACAAGGAACTACTTCACACACATACACACACGTGCACACATACACACATACCCTAATACATGAATGTGTATGGCAGCATTTTACAGGATGCTAAGCATGTGATATATATGATAAACCATTGCTATGCCACAAATCTGGCCCTAAATTGTCATATGTGACCATTCAATGCAGAGAGGGTTTAGGATAACCCAATTTGAGAAAGCTACATTACAAGACCAGATTCTATTTTTAGGCTGGATTTTTTCTAAACAGATGTTGAAAACCCAAAAAGAGGATTTTTTAAGTGTTATTACTGGTAAGTTATTGCACCCTTAATGTGGTCCGTACTGTGGCAATAGAAGCTTCAGGAAAACATCTTTTCTTTCTGCCTCTTTCTCTCTTTAAACTTTATTTATAGCCTTGCAAAAGACTAGCATTCACATAACCCGCCTTTGCAGGCGTGCCAGAAGATTAATGATATCTCAGTGTTCTTGAGAACAAAAATGTGTCTACCACTGTGTTGAATAATCTCCCCTTTCACACATTAAAAGTGAGATGAGGCCTACTTTAGAAAGCAAGGACAATGTGTCACAATGAGTTACTTGGCTTAAAGACATACCCGTATTGCTATCCTGAATCACAAATTGTTTTCATGCATGTTATCTTGAGAATAAGAAAGCTTTTATCACCATCACTTTTTAAATTTTACATAGAGCCTCAAAATCTGACTTATTCCAGCATTTTTTTGTTTTACAATCTGTTGCTGGTGAGAATTGAGAATTTGGAGAAAGTTATTCATTATGACCTCTTATCTCTACTCTCCTCAAATTTGGCTAACAAGAATAAAAGCTATTTGAAAATTTAAATACTATAGATGTAGCAATTTTTGTTAAAGCTACCTTTTACCTAGTTTATAGTAATAATGACAACATTAACTCTACTTTTATTAAAATCTTACCTCATTCCATGAACCATTCTAAGTGTTTAACATACATTATCTCATTTAATCCTCATGAAAATCCTAAGAGGTAAATACTACTATTATTCCATTTAATGGAGGAGAGAATTTAGACTTACAGAGATATATGACTCACTCTAAATCGCCCTTGTAATAAGTGACAAAACCAAAACTCCAACTGTGGTTTGTGGGACTTCAATGTTACACTCTCAACAACTATGATATACTGCCTCTCTGGCTACATTCATTTACTATGGACCATTACACAGCCATGTGATACTTACAGAATGTTTACAATTTCCAGGCATTTCTTTGCCAGTGTTTAAGTACTTACCACATATCAGTGTCTACTATTGGTCTTCAGAATTATAAAAATGAGTCAAACACAATTCTTGCTCTCAAAGTGTAGTGGTACCACAGAGCCAACTTGATACATTCTCAGGATCTAGAGTTTTGCAGATCTTCCTGACATCATATAAAACATTAAAATGCACTCACATCTCACATTAAATATAATTCACATAACCACATCCGAGTTAAGTTATATTTGCTTGAGATTATTTTTATAGGCATTTTAACATTTATTAATTTTGATGCAGTTTTTCATAATTTATAGCCAGAATATATATATTTTTCCACAATCTCAGAAATTTTTGCCCAGGTTGTCTGCCTATAAAATTTAACAGTACATTGGTCCCAGTGTGAAAGATAGAAAAGTAAAGGATGAAAGTGATACAATGTGGCAAATAAATAATGGAAATATCTGCAAAGAATTATAAGAGCCAAAAAATACAAAGAGCAAAGGACACTTAAAAAAAACTTAGGATAAGTAAAGGAGTTTAACATGTAACTCTCATTTACAAAGCTATTGAGCTACAAAAATCTGTGTTATCTCCAAGAAATGTCAAGAAATTGTGTCTTAAGAAGCACATTTGGGCAGCATGATAGAGGATAGGGACAGAGACTTACAATTTAAAGTATTTTCATTGTAGGTGTTTTCTGTCATCTAGAGGAAATCTTAATAGATATTATACTGAAAATTCTGTTTCTTTGCCATACTGATCAGAGTAGCTTGGTTTTCTTTAAGGCATAATATAAATTATAATTGACATTCTTTTTTACACGTTATTTTTATTGCCAATTTTCTTAAGAGAACTAACTACACTTTTTAATTCAGAATGTTAATTCATCAAGTATTTATAAATTATTTGGGACAATATTACATATATAATGTATATATACGTATATGGATATGTAAACATAGTATTTATAGTATGTGTGTATATATAGTATACATATTCATTATACATGTATTATATATCATATAGCATACACAAATATAGTAAATACAGATTGTATTTCTGTGTATGTACATTTATATGCACATACACATACACATACATACATATATATAAATATATAATGTATATATATGTATATATACTAAGCAATCAGGGATTATATCTATATGCTTTATGTCTACAACCTTCAAACTTCTTTTTCAAATATGAAGTATGTCCAGTGTAAATGAACAAATCCTATACTTCCCATTAAAAATGTTGCACAAAACAATTGACCAAAAAAACTTTTGAGAGCAAATGAAAAACTTTAAAGGTAAAATCATACATACATGTAAGAAAAAAATTACCTTATAACTGTTTTTAAGTAATTCTCTTCAAAATATTTAACATGTTTAAAATCTGTCTCCTTTGAAAAGTTAATTTGATAGGGCCAGATGTGGTGGCTCACGCCTGTAATCCCAACAATTTGACAGGCTGAGCAGGTGGATCACCTGAGGTCAGGAGTTAGAAACCAGCCTGGCCAAAAAGATGAAACCCCATCTCTACTAAAATGCAAAAAAATTAGCCAGGTGTGGGGACACATGCCTGTAATCCCAGCTACTGGGGAGGGTGAGGTGGGAGGATCACTTAAATCTAGGAGGTGGAGGTAGCAGTGAGTTGAGATCATGCCACTGCACTCCAATTTGGGTGACAGAGTGAGACTCCATCTCAAAAAAAAAAAAAAAGAAAGAAAAGAAAAAGAAAGTTGATTCGATAGGACAGGAAGATTAAGCAAGTAGCTAGGTGGAGAAATCTCTAAATTAGGTATATCTTAAAATACTAGAGTGAAGATAAGCACTATATTTGTGGTAAGAAATGGGGGTATTGAGACTAAAATCAACTGATATGGTAAACTAATCTAACAGAATCATACTATCACTAGTTCAAAGCTGTATTACTGAGGACTCTTGCACTAAATGGACATAAAAGATTACGGAATTGGGGAGTTTGTTTTCACCTTGTGGAGCAGCAGAAAAAAAAAAAAGGACGAACAGGTGTTTTAAAACATAGGCAGAAAAAAATAGGTTATATGATGCAAAAATTTAATATGAACAAAGGCCCAAAGAACTAAGAAAAATTCCCCCTTTCAAACTGTAAAAATGTGAAGCCTTTGAATTACTAAAATAAATCGGCTGAATAAAATATAACATCCATAACTGTGACCAGACAAGACTTGAGTTGCTGCCCAAGGCCTAGATATTTGGGATGGTAATTATGCCAGACTCAAATTAAGTTGTGATGTCATTAAATTTGGCATCACCCTAGATCACATATTTCATGCCTTAAAATATTACTCCTCATCGTGTGAACCTTATAGTTATAGAACCTTATAAATTCATTTGTATAATGTTTTAATGATATTCTAAATTTCTTTTTTAAAAAAAGCAGATTATGAGCTTTGACCCATTTCTGTTATTCTTGCTTGAAAAGACTTATTGACTAATATATTTGCACTCACAAATCTTTACCCTATACATTCTCAGTTACTAACATTAATCTAGATATAACCTTGAAAAATGTAGACATGATCTTTACCTTGTTGAAATTTGGAGTCTAACAGGAAAAGAGATAAATGGACAATTGTAAGGCAACATGATATATGTTATGATGGTAAAAGTAAAGGCATCATGAGAAATGTCAAGAGAAATGTCTTGGAGGAGTCAATGCCTATGAAGGCGTCCTAGAGAAAGTAAAGTGTAAACTAAGGCTTACTGTATCATTATCAACTAAGCCAGAAAATAGTAGGGAAATTGGGGAAATGTTTTAGGCAGAGGAAACAGCATGTGCAAAATGCCAGGGATAGAAAGCATGGATTCTATGCAAGTGGGGAAACTACAGAGATAGACAGTGGCCAGATTATACACCACTTTAAAGAGACTGTACTTTCTGATGCTCAGAAAGAAAATGATGAGATTTAATTTCTAGAACTATTTTTAATCTTCTATATAGAATAATGAAGACAAGACTAGAGTGCAGAAGCTATTTAGAAGGTTGTTTTAGTAGGTCAGGCCAGAGGCAAATTAGGGAAGAGGCAGTTGAGATAAAATGAGATAAAGGGATTCCTTAAGATAAAGAATACTTAGGACTTGATATTACATAGGAGTGAGTCAGGAGGAGGAATACAGGAAACAAATGTAACCCTATGTTCGTTTAATGAACAACTAGGTAAATACTGGCACCATTTAATGAGGGGAGGGAGGATAGGACAGGGAAGATGACAAGCCCAGTTTCAACATGTTCAATGTGAAGTACATATAGGATGCTAAGCGGGCAGGTGGATATAGAGGTCTGATGCTTAGCATAAAATCTAAGCAGGTAATAGGAATGTGGACATCATCAGCTTATAGATTTTACAATAATGCAAATTCCAAAACCAAATGACATTGGGCAAAGAAAATGGGTAAAGCAAAAGAGCCAAGTGCCAAGGGCTGAACCCTGAGAAAGCCTAATATTTAAGGAATAAGAGTGAAAGAAGCACTGGGAAAGGATTGAGGAAGAGAGAGCAGAGAAAACTTGATGGAAATAAGAAGAGTGAAAGAGTTCCTGAAAAAGCAAGTGTGCAATAGTGTCCAATGGGGCTGAGAAGTCAAGCAATACAAGGACTAAGGGGGTCCTTTCTTTTTGTACAGGCCATTTGGTAACATACGAGATCATGGTCTCAAGGTAATATAGGAGAGAAGTTAAAATACCATATACAATAGCATAACAAATTAAGAAGTTTCCATTAGCATATATAGATATATGTGTATGTACATATATTTGTTGTTTGTATCTTCACAAAGTATATACACACATATGTCTACATACACTCTCATTCAAACATATTATGATGTGCATACTATTACCCTCTTTTCCAGATGAAAAACTGCAGACACAAAGGGCACACAGTTAATAAGTGGTAAAGTTAGAAACTGAAATAGGTTGAGGACTTGAATGGGAAGTAAAGAAGTAGAGAATGGGAGTGTAGGTAACTCTCTCCAGCAGTATAGCTGTGATTTTCTCGGGGAGCTTTGCCTGGGACTATTGCTCATCAGGTGCAAGCTATCTGAGGACTACTATCCAAATTGCTGACTGAAACTCAAGAGGAAAAAATGGCTTATGAAATAATTTTTTCTTAAATACTGTGTGTTCAAGTAGCAGGGGTAACAACGTAAAAAAACACGTTCTTTTCAATGTACAATTGCCTTGAGCTTTGACAACAATACACTATTTATTGTTGCCCATTAAGCCTAAAATTCAAGTGTAACCCTAAGTGACACTACTTTAAGAATAATTCCAACAAAGTTCTCCCAAGGGATCTACCAATGTTAACTAGAGTCCTATACACTGTATTTTAAACTCTTAGTTTGCCTATATGAAGTACCCATTTTGTGTGTGCATTGTCTGGTGATATTGTCCTTCCAGAAACATCTTTATGAAGCCAGGATATGTTCAATCGGTCAATCTTCTCCACCATGGGAAATTCATTAAATGATAAATTGTCAAATAAGTTGAGTTTTTAATAGTACCTGAATCAGTGAAACATCACTGATTTGTGTGGAATAAAAGAAGAAATTCGTCATAATTTAATTTTCATTTACAAATATTTTAGGAATGCTGTATAGTCACATTCATCATCTACCAGTACTTTATTATAAGCCATTGTTGAATGAGAAACCACATTGAAATATTTGCTATTTGCATGACTTACTACTGTAGTATATGTAATATGAGTGAGAGGATAAGTATAATTAGAAAACCTATTTTTAAATGATATTTGGAAACACAGAGTGATCTCCAAAAGTTAAAAAAGTGAAGAAATATACTTAAATAAAATTGTTAAAATCATGGTAGATCAGTAATTTTTGGAAAGTTTAGGATACCGTCTATTCAATTGTCATTATCATTCCAATTTTCAATTTGGTTCTGCTTTCCATCTCTTCCTTAAAAGAAAAAAAAAGTTTCATTTCTAAAAATGAAAAACAATAATGTTTGCAGTAGCCTCAACATTTTTTTACCTACAATTGCCCATTATCCATAATTGAATTTCCCAATACAGTCTCATGAACTTTATTGTCAGAATGACTGGCTAAAGACGCTTTATTCTCCCCCAAGATGAAGAATTACTTAAGGGATGCTAAACACAATGAATATGAAATTGAAGAAAACAATGATTTGGTTTTAACCACAAAAAGCATAATAATACTTAGTTGAGCCAAAATTTTAGAAGAAAATAAGTTCTTTTTTCAATATTTTGATATGTTATATTGGTCATGTCAAAATGAGATTACACTGTCCCTAGGACAACCCTGAGAGTCTAATAGGCACTGCTCCAAACCTCACCATTCTCATAACTATGAAGTCTCACATGTCAGCTCAGAGAGACGTTATGGTGCCCTCCTCCACCAACAAGAGACACATTAGGGGCTGTAGCCCTATACTACAGACCTTATTTTAGCATTGAATACCTGATTTTTAAAGGTTTTCTTTCCCAAGTTAAAGAAAGAATGAAACAGGTAATGTGAGGGCTCCCTTGTACTGACTCCAGGTGCTTACATAAGATCCTTTAAGTTTCTCAATAAGAAACCATACCTCAAGTGACACACGGGTCAAATTTACAGAATATTGAGTGAGAGAGAGAGATTGGGAGAGGAGGAAGCTTTCCTTCTATTTCTAGAATGTGATATAGCTGGGATATTCACAAGATTCTCATCTAAAGGAATAAATAAAGCCATGAAATGTTTAAAAAGTGCTAGAAAGTAACTAGGGAATACCTCTGTGCTTTCTTGATTTTTGTTTTTCTACACTAAGTTGGAACTTTTTGTACTTTTTAAATTTCTTTTAACCACCTCTTCCCACTTTCCTATTTGTCTTAACCTGTCTCCTCTCAGATGTGAAATACTCATAATTATTACTGTGGTTATGTGTAAAGCGATATCTGTACTTCAATCTTTTGGTTCGGACCAGTAAATTCAAGGATAATGACCAAGTGGACATCTGCCTTTTCTAAGCTCTCACTACCTAGAACACAGAGAGAATCCACTTGCACTGCACTTGCCTTTTTCTAAAGGGTTATCACTAAAGCCTAGATAAAAATGAACTCCACCATTTTCATTTCAGAGTCAAGCATCCTCACTCGACACACCGTCCCATTCCCTTTCTCTTCTGGCTGGTAAAAGACTTAAGTCAGCTTGGGTATCAGGCCAAGCTACAGAGATGTGTAAAGAACACAAGGAACATGAGAATGTGAGAAAAAAGGAAAAATGTGTTTAGATGTTAGTTTTTAGTAAGTGAGGAGTTGCTACTTAGCTTTCTTGACTCCTAGTCTTTATCTGCCTCTTCTTACATTAGGGAAAGTCCACCCTTTTAGTTTCCTCAGTAATAGCCTTCAATCTTATCCATCAGAATCTTTCTTCAGAAACCTAAATTGGCTTTAGTTATTGCAATGAAAGTTAGCATGAAGTCTTTTTTTTTTTCCAGAAATGATATAGGGAACTAGAAAGCAGATGTTCCAAGGTCTACATTCTCTACTCGTTAAAGACAATTAATAATCAATTTGGGCTCACAGAAGATAAATGTTCCATCATCAAATTCTTCCTCTATTTTCTAAACAGAGACTCTCAAAGGTACAAGGTGAGCATATTGATGAAGACTCCAGAGTTAGCTGATGTTGATACTATCATAACTGGCCTTCTTTGCAGGTTCGCTAGATATTTGCTTTCTTTAATCTAGGTTTCTTTATCTATGTAGATAAAGCTATTGTTTTTCAGTTGCATTATACTGTTGCCTATAGCAGCAATATAATGTCAGAGACTGAGGTAGACTTCTGGTGGCTGGGCTCTGTATCCCGACACAGATGTGATTTTTTTCTTTGTCATTTTATTTATTTATTTACTTATTTATTTATTTTTGAGACGGAGTCTCACTGTGTCACCCAGGCTGGAGTGTGGTGGCATGATCTCAGCTCATTGCAACCTCTGCCTTCCAGGTTCAAGGGATTCTCCTGCCTCAGCCTCCTGAGTAGCTGGGATTACAGGTGTTCACCAGCATGCCTTGCTATTTTTTTGTATTTCTAGTAGAGATGGGGTTTCACCATGTTGACCAGGCTGGTCTCAAACTCCTGACCTCAGGTGATGGCCTCCCAAAGTGCCGGGATTACAGGAGTGAGCCACCTGGCCTTTGCCGTTTTACTAAAATGCATCTTAAAACCTAGAAAGAATCCATAGAAACCAGTTGATCCATCTCTGTCTTCACTGTTAAAGCATTATTTTCACACTTTACATGTGAGGCAACTGAGGCCCCATGGGGTTAAGAAATTGCTGAATGTCCCTTTTTTCATAAGGAAAGGAAACATAGTGCACACCTCCATGCGTTCTTATGCATGGCGCTGTATGGCATTCATTGTGCTCACAAAAGACAAAGTAAAAAGGCCCATTTTCTGCTATCCGTAAGTTTGCAATTGTGAAAAACATTCATCTACACACAAAATTCAAAATGTTATATTACAATTAACAAGTCTACCAGCTATGAGGCCTGCAGTAAATTGTACCAACTTCTCTAAATCTCAAACTCCATTTTTTTAAATGAAGAAAATTATAACTATTTCTATAAAGTTTTCTGAGGACTACATGAATTAATATACAGAAAGCTCCTGAACAGTGCTTAGCATGGTAGGCATTCAATAATAAATAGTAGTTATCATTATTCACCTAACTCTGGTGATTTCAGCATTTAAATAATTTCCCTTACAGCTTGAATGAGGTGTATTTAGGAAAAATAAAATAAAGTACTGCTTTAAATTGCAGGCAGTAAACATGAGATATTAACCTAAGCAACTGTAGAGGCTAGGTACATAAGTAGCTTCATGAAGGGGTTATATAAATATGGCATTGACAATGGACTTGAACAAAAAAGAAAGAAGGTTGTTGAGAGGTTCCTGAGTTCTGAGGTTGACAGCAAGAAATGCAAACTTTACTCTCCTACTAATACTTTTTGCAGTTATTAGTGGATTTAGCATGAAGTGAACCCATTAGGTACCAATGCAGTTTCTCTTACGTTAACGGGAGGCAGTTTATCCAAAATACCTGACTTATTTAATGCACATGTAGCAATGGACAGAGCTCAGAGGCTCCGATGCATGCTGAGTAGGGGGCAGAATACAGCTGCAGCTTGCATGTCCAACTATTTATGTTTTAGGTAATGGCTTCAGGGCATAGCAAATATGCTAAGAGCAACAAAATCCTCTGGTATGTTGATCAGTTTTATTTAGAACAATTCTAAGCATGCAACTGTGACTGCCCAAAGCATACATAAGTTGACCCAACTTCCTTCCTTTCAACTCGTAAAGAATAAATAAGCCCCATCCAATGACAAAGTTTTTAAATTTCTTAGCAAATGAGATTCCCTTTATTTGTGTAATCTGAATATTTTTCCTTTCTACTAATGCCAGGACTGACTTATGACAACAGTAATTAACCATGAAATTTCCAAGACTGCTTCTTTGCAAAGAGTCCATTTGCATTATAGGTCAACAAACCATTTTTTCTAAGAATGAAGATTCAGATTGGCTTTTAATGTTCTTGGCCCTTGTTTACTCCTCTACTAGTTAAGAGTACTGGGCAGAGAGTGGTGAACTGGTAAGCTCTAAAGATGCTTATTGCCGTCATTCAGAGTTCTGACAACCTTCTCTTATCAGCTCTTCTGCATATAGAAGAACAATTCATACTCTTGCTAAGGCTAGAAAAGTGAAGCATCCAAAGATATTGCTTTCCAATAAAGTAATAATGCTCCATTAGCTATTTTGCTGTTACACGTTTTACCACAGACAAATCTTCTTTAGGCTGCCTTCCCGTATGTGGCCTTGTGATAAATTTTATCAGTGGTCAGCGGGACAGAGTTGCAGGCTGGGCAGTAACACAGTGGCTTTTTATCTAGCTTAGTTCCCCCTCTCTTGCCCCCCACCCAAAGCGGCATTTTCTTGGCATAATTTATGTTGTGGCATTTCTGTCGGTAGATGTGGTGTCAGCAATTTGTGTTCCTAGTGGAAGTTTACATGGAAATGAGATACTTAGCCACAGAACAAAATTAAAGATGGGATGAACTAATAAAAACTGTAATGCAAAGGTACTTGCGCCTGTTCATATTTTTATTTTTTTTTTTTAAAGAGGATTGTCTCTTGCTGAGAAAGCTTGTTTTCCAAGTCTCAAACGTCGGTACAAATAGTATGTACAAACAGTATGTATAAAGTACACCAAAATTGTCAGCACTTGTGTTAGAAGTTCTTACATTCCAGAGGCATGATAGCAGCAGCATAATATTTTAAGTTAAGGTGATATTTAAAGTTTTAGAACCTAGAATGTTTAATCACAATTTGTGGTGTTTGTACCTTGGGAAAAAAGTACGTACATATGGTATGTATTTTTGTACAGTTAAAAAACTCAGCCCAGTGGAAATTTTAATGGAGAAATCATTTTACTGAATAAATACTTTGTTCCCATATGGTTTACCATAAAAAGATTTTCAGTTATCCCACAGCAGGATATTGAGAGCATTTAGAAATAGCTGTGTACTGCATTAGAAATGAAATAAAAGCATTGTTTAGACTTCTTTGCCAAAGACTCCTGAGATAGTTCAAGCTCTACAGTTATTTAGACTCTCGACTTTTCCATCTTAGAAAGGGTTTTTACATGAATTGAATCTTCATTCCGAGGTAGAGCACACAGGAAGAGAGACACAGATAGTGCTCTCTCATGCATCTACAACCTCTCTAGGGGTTTCCATTTCATTCTTTTCCTCACAGAGAACACATTTCCCAAGAAGCAAGGCTGCACATAGACATCCTGCATCCTCTAGACAGAGTTTCAGCACATTACCATACGCAGCTTCCTGCCATCTCATCAACAACAGATTTTTTTCACTTACATTTTCATATTTTTTAAAGTATTTTAAAAACATCTTAATGGCATTTCCCCCTTCACTAAAATTTCCTAGTTGATCCATTTGTCATACGGACTGTATCTTTGAGTATTTGGTAATATTCTGAGCTGAATGTGAAATGTTGGTTACTTTATACACAAAGATATCCAGAAAACAGATTCACTTCCATGAATGATGCCTGATTTTCTGAAACAAGTTTCCTCGAGTCAAACTGGCAAGAAAGACTTGAACTCCATTAGATGGAAATTTTCACTTTTTTGAAACAATTTAAGAACCTGTCTTTAGTAATTTAGATTAAAGATGAATGTTTGGAAACTTGGTCCCTGTATCCAACGTGTATCTACCATAGTCCCGCTAGGGTTCTGAACAGCAGAGCAGTATACCTAGCTTACACATACCAAAACGCCAATATATGTATTCACCTTTGTAATTATGCCTTTAAAAATACCTCGCCATATTTAGCCACTCCTAAATATGTATTTACACAAGTCTACACACTGTAAATGTTTACCTGGGAGACAGGAAAGGTCTCTCTGGTAAATAATATGGTTTTATAGCCTTTCATGAAGGAATTTTTTGTTTGCTATGTAAAAAAATCAGCACCTCTCAGTTATAATTTAATAAAATTTTTCTTTCCCTGTAAATTTACTGCATAGCACTTGAGGTAAAGCCCTCCAATTTTTTTTTTTTTTTTTTTTTTTTTTTACAAAAAAAGACAACACTGGTGTTAGCTTTGGATACAGAGTGGCTTTGATTCATTTTACGAAAGACTTCAGACATGAATATGATTTCTGAAGACCCAACAAATAAAAATAACCTGTCAGATATATTTTAGAGCTAAGGATGTTGAGTCATTACCCTTTTTCTCAGATTTTTAAAATCAGAATCTCTAGGAAGATCCAGATACTTTAAAATGACTTTGCCCTGAATTTTCTGGATCATTGCCTTAATTTTACACTTTATATTACATGAGTGGATGTAGGTAAAACAACCTCAACTGATAAGTAAAATTATAAAACTCACAATATGAATAAATTCTGAGAGAAAAGCGGAATTCATTTCCCAGTATGCCAGTTCAAGGACAGGAAATTTTTAGTGCATACTCCAACTTACAAATATGTGGTCTTAAGCAATTTAGTTTATCTAACTTATTCTTTTGAATTTGTAAATTAGGCTGTGACCTACCCTAGAACTAATGAATGATAGGTCCATACTTAGATTTTAAGTACAGAATATTAAAGAGAAAAATATATCTTTTTAAAAAAGACATGCTTGTTCTTTCTTAATAAATTGAAAGATACAAAATAAAACAGAAAATCCTTGGAGTTGAATAGTTATCCTGATATTTGGTAGATTCTCAAAATGTATTCTCCATCCCCCTCCTTTCCCTAACTTTGCTCTCCCCTTAGAATCTGAGACTTTAGAAATCACCTGACATTAACCAAATGCTCCTTCCCTTTCCTGAGCCACTTCTGGGTCCTGGACATGGATATAATTTAATTTGGAGTCCTTTAAAGTATTTTAAGAGGGAAGATCTCTCTCAGGGTATCACTCTTGTAATTAGTTTACTTTCTTCTAGAAGGTAAATGTGCAGGATTTCCAGCAGTTTCTCTCTGGAACCATAGAAGATTTTCCTGTCATCAGTGGACTTAAAGACTAAGAAGAGAGGAGCAAAGAGAGAGAGGCCCCTTACCTGAATCCTAAAGACACTTAGTAAACTATGGCTTTACATTTAAAGGATTCCTCCTCTCTTTCTTTGTTGCGTCTTTCAAGAATTTTCCCTTTCGGAATCTTTGCGTGCATGGGTGCTTGTGCACAGAGGGTATGAGACTGATTTATGTTGAGCAAGTAAGAAATACAGGCATTTTTAGCAAGTCCAGGTAAGGAAACACTTCGGCTTTTTTAGGATATAAACATATCAAGTATTTTTTAAGGGCCCCAGTTATATTCCCTCCACATAAAAAGCATGTTGAAATTTGCCAATGTAAACAGGTGTTTGTATGTCTTCTTATGTCATATCTATGTACAGCTTGGAAGAGATCAAGAGAGGAAGAGATGGAGAGTGTATGCGTCTGTATTGGTGTGAGTGTATTTTACATATAAAATATATAAAAGGTATGAAAATATTTATATCCTAAATTCAGATGTTTTAAAGTACTTCACTTGTAAACCTTTTTCTTCCATTTATTCTCAAAATGTTGAAAGATGCATCCTGTTACAAAGGATTAAAACAATCCTTTAAAATGTGAAAACAGAATTTATTTATATTTAAATATACTAGAAATTTAAATAAAAATATATGCTTGATGGACATGGAACAGAGGGTTTTGCAAGTAGGTCATTAATTCAAATCTGATACAGAGAGCACTGAATACCCTACAGCTGCCTATTATGAGTATCTAAAATGAATGCAACAAATAAACATCTGATTATATTTCCATACAAATTGTATACCTACTCTGCTAATTGAAATGGAACATAGTGTACTCTTTCTGTATTCAATTTACATTTTTGCAAATTATTCATTTTACATTTCCACAAAAGTAATAGTAAATTCATTGTCATTCCAGTAATACCCACACATATAGCTCCAAAGGACGCAAGTAATATATTCCCCACCTTCTGAGTATGAACGAGCAAGGTATAACTCTTTCTGCTCCATCCTAGATTCTCATACTTTTAGACATGGCAGGCTAGAAAGAACACTCCTAAATGCAGTACACAAATCCATAACGGCCATCATGAATTTTGTCACCAGGTACTGTAAGAACTAACATATGAGCTAAATCACTGACCCTTATGTTGGAGTCAGAGTTTGTTAGAAGAAGCAGTGTCTTCTGTCTCTTAATATCTCTCAGACATTTGGGGAAACAATTCTTTCTATCCACTTACTTCTGACCATTCACACCACATTTTATCCCCACTGAGACCCAGGCACAAATTCAGGGTGCCAGCTTAAGTAACAAATGCCTGCTGTGCTAAAGATTGCTCGTCCACCTCCTTGCCTATTTTCTTGGAAACAGACAAGTATATTTGACTCTCTTCCTTGAGGATTCTTTCCTAAAGCTATGACAAGATTGCAAAACTTTAGAGTTTGACTGGAACCTGAGACCTGCATTTGTTAAGGTGCGGGATGTTGTGAAGGAGACTCGGCTAGAATTAAGAAATGACACTTCAGTGTGGCTGCCAAGTGTAATCTCAAATGTACATTATCTAAAATTCCTAAGTGGCAGTGCCATTCTAATCTGCACTGGTTGAATCCATCCTGGATACACTGCATTGAGCTCCTAATGCTACCTCGTAAGCCTACACAGTATTCAGGAATAATAACATAAGGTTATGGGGGAAACACACCTGTATCCTACAGAGTGCAGTTGAAAGCACTGGGACTGATTAAAAGAAAATAGAGGAAATTTGGAACCCCCTTCAAATATCTGAAAGACTATCGGGGAAACTCGCCCCCAATATTTCAACATAGTTGCTTTCTATTTTCCATAAGTGTCAGCCGGCTGAGAAATAAAGAGAAAGAGTACAAAGAGAGGAATTTTACAGGTGGGCCGCCGGGGATGACATCACATATCGGAAGGACCATGATGCCCACCTGAGCTGCAAAACCAGCAAGTTTTTATTAAGGATTTCAAAAGGGGAGGGGGTGCACCAACAGGGAATAGGTCACAAAGATCACATGCATCAAAAGGCAAAACGCAGAACAAAGATCACATGCTTTTGAGGAAACAGGACAAGGGCAAAAACTGAACTCCTGATAAGGGTCTATGTTCAGTGGTGCACGTATTGTCTTGATAAACATCTTAACAGAAAACAGGGTTCAAGAGCAGAGAACCAGTCTGACCAAAAATTTACCAGGATGGAGTTTCCCAATCATAGTAAGCCTGAGGGTACTGCAGGAGACCGGGGCATATCTCAGTGCTTATCTCAACCGCACAGAACAGACATTCCCAGAGCGGCTGTTTACAGACCTCCCCCCAGGAATGAATTCCTTCACAGAATATTAATATCAATATTATTTGCTAGGAAAAGAATTTAGTGATATCTTCTCTACTTGCACGTCTGTTTATAGGCTCTCTGCAAGAAGAAAAACTATGGCTCTTTTTGCCCAGCCCAGCAGGCAGTCAGACCTTATGGTTGCCTTCCCTTGTTCCCTAAAAATCGCTGTTATTCTGTTCTTTTTCAAGGTGCACTGATTTCATATTGTTCAAACACATATGTTTTACAATAAATTTGTACAGTTAACACAATTATCATAGTGGTCCTGAGGTGACGTACATCCTCAGCTTACAAAGATAACAGGATTAAGAGATGAAAGTAGGACAGGCATAAGAGATTATAAAAGTATTATTTGGGAACTGATAAATGTCTATGAAATCTTCACAATTTATGTTCCTCTGCCACGGCTCCAGCCAGTCCCTCCATTTGGGGTCCCTGACATCCCGCAACAAAAGACTGTCATGCAGTTCACAATCTTTTTTCTTTCACCACTTTAAGTAGATCATGAAAGACTGTTATGCAGTCTTTCAGGCTAGATTAGGCTTATTTTGTATGAAAGCACCATAAGATAGAGTTTGGCTGAACATGAAGTACTTTCTAGAAGTTGTGCTGCACCATGAAGAAAATAACTGCCTCAAGAAAGCCCAGGCAGCATCCAAGAGTAGGGTAGATGGCCTTTTGGAGGTTGGGCTAGATGACCTTTGACCCATTTTTCATTGCTGAATTTGTGTGAATCTAAAAAACCATCCCCATTTTGGGAGTTTCCACCTGTGCTCCTGGAGAATTATCAGGGTACTGTCAAATCAGAGTCACCCCAATGAGTCATATTTTTTTGATCCTTTCTAAGCCTAGAATTTCTGTCAAGGAAGCTGAATTCTCTGCAGTGAATATGACCATAAAAAGATCATGGGTTCTACAATCAGAGAACCCTGGTTTAGAATCCTGGCTCTTCCATTTTATTCGCTGTGTAAATTTGAGGAAATCATTGAGCTAAAGAATCTTAGTCATAAAAGTGAGGATTATTATTCCCATCTCATAGGATAATTGTGAGCATAAAAATCATCTGAATATGCCTGGTATATGCATTAGGTGCCTATTGCTGAAGGTGCATAAGGACATAATACATAGATATTGTGGCCTAAAAAGCCCACTCCTACACATGGTGGGAAAGGACACTCATATTGCAGTAAGTTCAATGTAGTAAGTTATGATGATGTATGTTAATTACCTGCTTCTAAAAAGGCTCCCTTTTATATCAAGAACACACACATTTCTATTATTCTGGAATAGGAAAAAGATCCTATGGTGGTTTATAGCACCTTAGGAAATGGTGCTACAAACATATAAAATGTGGTAAATGAAATAATAATCACAGTGATGAACTTTATCAAAATTTACATGAGATGAATAATGCAAAGGCAGGGGAAATTATTCCCTACCAGCAGTAGAAATCCTCAGCATAGCACAATCTTAATTTCAAGATTCTTCCAGTAATGCAGAGTCTATCTGATTATTATTTCTTTACGTGTTTCAAAATCAAGCACCGAAGGATGAATGCATTGGTCACATGTACAAGAGAATTGCCTGATTTATTTGCTAAAGAGATACTTTTCACTCTTGGCATATGACTCCTAAATTTCCAAACTAGATGTTTTGGTCTTTCAACCAGGAGGATGATTATTTCCACCTATTAATGGCTGATGGGTTTGATCCAACAAAACTGCTGAGTTTACTAACCAGTTATTCTGTATAGCATAGCCCCCCCCCATTAAAATTAATATGTATAATCCTCTGTATTTACTCTTGCCTCCAGTATTAACCTATTTATATTTAACATGGCTACTCCATCGAAATTGGTATCAATGATCTTTAATCTACTCAGTCTTCATCACATGTATGAGGGATTTCTGGCATGAATTTGGACTTTTACCATCCCTTGAAGGACACTGCCAGAACTTCTGGGTTCTTTGCAGTAGGAACAAGAACATGCGATTCACACTGAACGCATGGTATAGGTTATACCTCCTGCTGAAATGATTCTGTATGCCCAAGTGGGGATGATTAGTTTTAATGAAAACATTTACCCCTAACTTGGATTGGTAACCTTAAATATTCAGCAAAGTTAGGCAACCTTTTCAACTGGTTGAATTCCTTTAGGAAAGCTAGTTACAATACACAACTTCATGCAGCAGCCAGAAATGTGAGCAGTTGGCAGTTGGGGATACATGTTGCCAGAACACAATTCTCTCACTCTAGCACAAGTGCACATGTAAACAAGAAAAAGGGCAAATTGTCCAAAGGCTTTGGGACAGCCTCTGGCTTCCTGCCCTACCTTCATGTGGCAGTAATTTCCCTGGGCAAGAGGCAGAAGGCCTCACCCTG
This sequence comes from Homo sapiens, assembly GCF_000001405.40. Taxonomy (NCBI): domain Eukaryota; kingdom Metazoa; phylum Chordata; class Mammalia; order Primates; family Hominidae; genus Homo; species Homo sapiens. The sequence goes on along the minus strand of NC_000005.10, from coordinate 89,047,821 downwards.
ACACACAGTGTCTGCCTTGCTTCCCACATAAAAACCCACAAGCAAGTATGACCCAGTGAGCATTAAGAATAAAGTCCTGACCTGACCACACAGCAATTCTGGAGCATGAGCAATGGACATTGCCATGCTCCTGGGAAGAGTCTCACTGCATGCAATTTAAAACTGGGCATAATAAAATGACTTTGTCAGGAGTCCCAGTGGAGCATTAGCAATTGAATACATATTCTCCCCTTGGTAGGTATGACCACGGAATAGCATGAATTCTATGCCTTGGCAGCAAGGGAACTTGGTGATAGCATTTTCCTAAACTGAAATGAAATGAATGATTTGTCCTGATACTTAAAAGTTATCTGATATGTTAAATCACCTCTAAAAATAAAAACTAAAGATTTGAAGAGAGATTTGTGAATCTTATAAAATGAAAAGTATAGTTAGACAATAAGGTTTTTGCTTGTCCAGAATGATTTTAAAATATGATAAGAAGCATCAGTAAACTAAAATAGAAAATCAAGTACTAAAATGTTTGTTCATAATTCAAGGACTGATGAGTATGGACAAACTCCTACAATAATTCAGAGAGTGTTAGTGATCAATGAAAAAGCTCTTTTATACATTTAGTTATTACAGACTTTAGCAAATACCAAGCATTGAGCTAGGCCCTAAACAAGTAAAAACATAAGTAGGTCCTACCCGAATAAAAATCTATTCATGGGAGTTGGGTATCAATCCTTTGGATAGTAAAAGGATAGTGGTAAAAACAACAGAAATATGAATAAAGGCATTAAAAAGAAAAAACAAGTATTCCATAAGAACGTTCAGTATTTTTTTAAACTTCCCAGTGTGAAACTGGGTCTTCACTTTCCTGTCTGTCCTGTTAGATTGCTTCATTGTTCAGAGACACTGCTTCACTTTCCTACAAGGTCAGGATCATTGTTACCTCTCTTTTTTGTAACTAGCTTTTGATTGATTGATTGATTTTGAGGCAGGGTCTCACTCTGTCACCCAGGCTTGAGTGCAGTGGCATGAACACAGCTCACTGCAGTGTCGACCTCCTGGGCTCAAGTGATTCTCCTGCCTCAGCATCCTGTATAGCTGGGACCACAGGTACACACCACCATACTCCACTAATTTATTTATTTTTTATGTTTGTAGAGGCTGGGTCTCACTTTGTTGCCCAGGCTAATCTCAAACTCCTGGCTCAAGCGATCCTCCCACCTTAGCCTCCCAAAGTGCTGGGATTACAGGTGTGAGCCACTGTGCTCACTGCTTTTGATCTATTGACCAAAAGAAGATATGCATAGTCCTAGAATAGGTTCAAGTTCAAGATAACATAAATTCAGTGCTTCTGCCTTAAGGAAAGTATCAGGATTTCTTTCATTGTAATATTGTGTTTCCTCATAAAACACAAATGAGGGCAGAGGGCAGCTTTCTGATGGACACTGCTAACCTCGGGGAGCATGGATCCTGGGGATGGAGTGAAGGAGAGGGGCAAAGCTTCCATTCTCTGAGTTCCTGGTACAATGTGGTCAAGCCATTTCATTATTTATTATCGACTTCAATCTCAAACTGTTTGATTTGAAAAACAACATGCTTATTAGACAAAACAAAACAAAACAAACCTGAAATTGCTTCACACGATACAGTACAAAGATATAGAGTACATATGATCCATGCAGAATGACAAAAACAGGGCATGAAGTACGTAAATCTTTTCCCTAATGTGCCCAAGATTTTACAAACAAAATGAAGAACCTGTCAATGGGGCTGAAATTGAACCATTCAAACCAGGCTCAGTGTTTATAAATGAGGAAGAGCCAAACCAATAATAATATAGTGGTATTGATTCTTTACGGTCTCACTCACACCCACCTCATCACTTAATATATTTTTTTCTCCTAATACGTGTTCAATCTTTTTTGACAGCTTGGCTCAGAGCTTAGATAATAAAGCCAAACCATATCCCTTTGGTTGGACTCAAGTTTGGCTGGACTTTCAGTGACTTCCACATATTAAGATCCACTCTCACAAAAGGCTTAATAAAATAAAGCCACCTATCTAACAAGTAACAAGAATCATCATTTCTGGATTGGTTCTATCAACCAGTCACTGTGCTTAGGGCTTTACATGTAGTATGTGACTTAATTCTCACAATAACACTCTGAGAGAGGTATCCTTAACCTCATTTTACAGATTAGGAAAGTTAGAACTTTTCCAGGATCACAGAACTAGCAAATGGTATGCCATTTATTCTATCAACTACGTTTAGGTTGTTGCAGGTTCTTAGAATGTTCTGCCATACTTTGAGACTTTGACAGGCTAGGATCCCTGCTTTTAAAAATGTAGGAAGCTTCACCTCACTGCAACATGTGAAGACTGGCCAGCATCTCCTAAAGAATCTGATGAGGAAACAGATTGCTCACTTTCAGGTGGTACAAGAGGCTTAATGTTGGCAAACATGCAGCTGATTGCTAACGCTCACCCTTTGCCACCACCTCCAGCAACAAGAAAAAAATTAGGACTCCTGCATACTCCCACTGCGGATTAGTTTTTATTTGTGGTCTTTTATTTCTTTTTAATGTAGTCAAGATAGTCTGATGTTCCCTGTATACAAATATTGGGGGAGAGGTTACACAAAGTGTGAGTTACCTCAGGCCAAACCTAAAATAGCCCTGGTTCTCCCATCCCCAAACTTCAAAGTCAGCCCCATTCTCCCTGCTTCTTCTTCTGCGGTGACTCTGCAGTAGTCACAGGCCAAACAGCCTGGGTGGTCCCCCCATACCCAAGCATTCCCTGAGCCAGGGAGCAACCACATACCCTCAATCTGGGGTAGGGTAGGCAGGGGAGAAAAAGATAGAGCTGATAAACACACTCTGGCTTCCCTGAACTCCCCTTTGGGGAAAGTCAACAATATACAAGCTGACTGTGCTTACACAAGGCAAAGCTTTCCAACAGTACAGCATTGTCTGTGCTGTCTAAGATTTTTCCTTCCTTACTACAGTATAGCAATATGGGAGGCCACGTGGCACTTCACGGGCGGTGGGAAGATCATGAAACTGGAAGCAAAAAGACCCATGTCTAAATTCCTAACACTCGATGGCAATCATTATTCCTCACTTCATATTTCTTCAGGTATTGGGCACTAAGGCTTATTTATTTGTTCACTTATTTCCTGAAGATGGGAAAAAAGGTATTTTTCTCAAATTTCCTCAGCCTTTGACTCTGTTTTAAAGCATTGATTTATGGCAAATAAATTTCAGTCTTCAAGAGAATTCAACAGGAATCAACTTTAGCATCTTCTAGAGAGCAGACAGGAGCTCTCAGTGGGTGCCCTACACTCACTTTTGTGGAAAGAGAAAAGAGGATTTTTAAACTCAGCATAACTTTTCAGTGGAATCAGGAACTGAACAGTAACATTATCCCAGTTGTGCATTAGAAAATCCTCTTTCTCCAGTGTGTAATGGGACTTTAATCTGAGGGATGCTATCCAGAAAGGCCTGGTAGAAACAGAGAGCCACAAGCCTATGGAGTTCTAGGAGAAGTGCCTTTTCTTTATGAAACCCATAAATAAACCAGTTCCAGTATCTAGAAGAATACAAAGGTTTTCTGAATTTTTTTTAAAAAAGGGTGCTGGGGTGGGGGGTCTGGATATTCTAAGACCATGTGCTGGAGGGTGTGGGGAAAGAACTGGCTTTTCTTTGAAACAAGAAGATGTATTTGGCACCTCTGTCCAACGGATACCTGGAGCAGATTCTATGGTCACAAGCTGTTATATCTAATTTTATTCCCCCTAGTTTTCTTTATTATGAGTCCCATACTGTTTTGAGTCTTTCCATCCTTTACAACTGTTGAATCTTTTCTACAGATCTGTAAAAACAAACAAGCCATTTCCAGATTACCAGCCAGCAACACCACATCCTGTGTTACAGCTGATGATAAGGAAGGAGGCAGGTAGTTCCCCTGACACATCTAGGAAGCATCCTCCTTCTTCAAACAGAAGCACACAGCATTCAATTCCAGGCAACGTTTGTCTGACCTTGTGGTCTACTGAGCTGAAATGGTTACACTCTTCTTTTTCTCTAAATCTATAGATTATGTTTTTCCTTTGACATTTTTCCTTTTTTCAAATTTTCTTATATAAGAAAATAACCTCCTGGGGGAAAGCTGTATTGGCTTTCACTATGAGCCCCAGGTGTATCCTAATTAGCTTTAAAACTTATATATATATTTAAAAAAAAAAACTTCAAGTTGAAGACAACTAAAGCAACCAGCAGCCATAGTTTGGGCTAATTAACTCTCTGGTAATAGTGACTAGAAACTGTGGTCTCAAAGATGTGATGATGATGTAGCTACCCAGGATCATATCTGCTCTTTTAATTTCTTTTAAGTTAATCAGCTTAGTAATAATTAGCAACCTGAAATTATTTTTGTCTCTAGCTATTATTTATTATTTTCCTCTTCCATTTATGTGTTCTTCACTCTCTCCCAGCAAACCCCTCCAATCACCACTTAAAATACAGGAGTTTCCTTCTTCTCCCTCCTCCCCAAACATATGCAAACATACACTGAAGAGGGCAAACATAGGGTCTAATGTTTCTTTTGCATCCTGAATTTTGTATTCTCAGAACCAAAGGTAGACTGAGTATGAGCCAAAAGGGGGGAAAGTATTGTCATACTCCACTGTCTCAGAGAACTAGAATCTTTCCCATCTTCCTCATCTCCTCAAGGAAATGCTGTGCCCACTGGGAGTAGTCTCTTCCTAGCTGATCTGTAACATAAGGAAAACCACACCTGAGGTTATAGTTGGCCCGGAGAGAGACCTACATGCCCTAATCATGCACAGCTGTACAGCCTTCCGGGCTATCCTGTGACAGCCAGCAAGTGGGCTGGAAAGATTGCAATAAAAATGCACTCAGTCCTACTGACTCCTCTCTCATCACCCTATAAGGGAAGGTTCCCTTTCAGGACAGCCTATATTTTGTCCAGCTTATACTTTATATTGCCTAAGAAGTCTACTCAAAAAACTTAGACAAGAAATAAGTCTCTAATCTTCTATTGAGGAAAGAGAATATTGGCCTAGAATTCAAAAGAGCTATCCTCTCACTCCTTCTCTGCCATTAACTAGTTTTGTGGCTTTAAAGAAATCATTGTCTTCTCATAAAATTAAGCCACAGAATTTCTAAGGCCGCTTCCACCTCTAAAGGTTCTATGAAGGGACAGTTTTCCCATTAGCCCCTTTGAAGACTAATTGCTAACTTCTGTACAGATGTAAGGTGGATAATCAGACTCAAAGAAACACAGATATACACTTCATGGGACTTGAAGGGAATTTTCAAAGACACTCTTTTCTGAAATCAAGAGAGCTCTTACAGGGCCAATGTTGGTTATAATATCTACATGAAACATAATATTTTTCTGATACACTGATCACCAGTCAGAGGTTAACTTGAGATCCCCTGGTGAAGCAATAAAGCAACTTTAAAAGTTGAACTAAAATGAATATATATGACTACAACAATAGAAACACCAAATGAACATTTTAGTCCTTATTTTGTGCCAGACACGGAGTTAGGGATTTCTGCATGTGTTATCTCAGCGCAGCATTATACACACGCTCTGTCCTCTCATTCTGTTCTCCAATTATCCCCCCAAGCTGGCCTGCCATCTGCCCACCTCCTGCACAGAGATGTTGTATGAGAAAGGACCTTTATGCATAGCACACCCAATCAGCTCTTGTCCACCCTAAGGCCTTCCACAAACCATCATCTCAATTGATTGCCTCCCTGTGGAAGGAAAAGAGCTCCATATTTGTCAAAAAGAAAAGAAGTCTCTGTTTTTCTGGGTTTTTTTTTCCTGGTGTATTTCCTTCAAGTCTCCAGGAGTATTTTATCTACACAAGGAGGGACATTCTAGTGTCTAGATCAATATCTGCAAAAGCTTTTAAGCTATAATAACCATGATCTTCAGCACTCAGTATATTTTGACAAGACCCCCCTCTATGTCAAGTGAGATGAGTAAACTACAAGTGAGATTGGTAAACTCTTAGGCAGGAATTTTTAGACCCACTCTTTTCAGTAGAAAGGTCCATAATCATTAAGTCAAATGCAAGGGGAAAAGCATTCCCAATCATATAGTTTTAATTCCCTGTAAGTCCAACCAGCACAAACTTCATCACTACATTGTAGTGTTGCTAACTAATGAGTTGAATTTTGGCAGCCCATTAATCTTAATTTTGTAAACACTGATTTTTTTTTCCTGGGTTTTGAATGGAGCTAAAATTAGCTCTTTTTTTTTTTTAAGTTTAACCTCCATTTCAACTTCCTGCTACTGAGTTTTTTATTACAACAAACAGCTCTATCCTTGACCAGGATCTAAAAAGAAGTCAGAAGACTTCTGGGAATTATGACCCCACCTCTCATTTTGTTTCACACGCTTCCCTGTCCCCTTTGGGAAATTGACTTCTAAGGAAACTCACTTGAGGCTCAATTAAAACTACGGGCACAGAGAAGAGGGGGCACGTCCTCACCTTTTCCTCCCCAGTGAGGACTGTTTTAAGGACTAATCCTACATAGGAAGATTTTTGTGGGCTTGCAGGATAAGACAAAACTTGGAGGTGCACCACAGAACTCACTCATTTGACAATTGCTGGATCATCTCAAGTTACCCTTACAAGTATAAATGCCTAAGATGGAGACTGGAAGGAACTGTCCCATCAAAGGGAGCGTTCATGGCTTTCAATCTTTCCCCAGCTCTCTCTGGCTTCTTAGCCATTGCCATTTCGCAAATACAGTATAGGGAACAGCAGTTTTATTAGTGTAAGAGAATGTATGAACTACACTCCATTGAGTTACGATAGCTAAGACAGTCATTACACATGGCCCATTTTCTCATTATGCTCTCTCTTAGCATCTCCTCACTTACAATAGGCTAGTCTATCCCTCTTCCTTTTTCTCTGGGGTAGCCTATTCCAGAAGACTTTCAGCCCCTTCCCTTATTTTTCTCAAACCTACCGTATTGCAGCCTCCCAGACACTCTCTTCCCTTCTCTATTGCACTCCTTTAGTCTGTTCTCATGATTTCAGATTTATACTGTTAAATACCAGTCCAGTCTCTGAGCATTCTTTGCTCACTTGTGATAAACCAAACAATCACATTTCTTCCACAGAAGCATCCTGACATTTATCACTCTTCTTTAAGTTTTCATGTTACTCACTGAAATTCTAAAAGCAGTCGCCAAATCCATCTGTGAGGTAATCTTTTCACTGTATTGTATTTTGCTATATTAGTGGTGATGATGAGAAAAGGCCCAATTGTCAGACAGCAGACAGCCAGGTAGAATCCCGGTTCTCTGCTATATACCATTTCTGTGTCCTTGGGTACATTATATAAGCTCTCTGAGCCTGGTTTTTTTTTTTTCCATCTACAAATTGAAGATAGGATAGTCTCTGCCTCACAAGGTAGTTGTGAAAATTAAAAAAGATCCTGTGTGTAAATCTTCAGCACAGTGCCTGGCACACAATAGGTACTTAATAAACATTAGCTACAAAACAAAACTATACCAAATTGTTTTAAAGATTATATCCTTAGCTCCCAATTGCAGTTTGAGGGTTGTCACCCAGATGTACAATTCCATGTTTAGAAATATTTTATGCTAGAGAATGAGAAATATGGTATGTGTCTGTGAATGTAATTTTAATCTCTCCTATACTCACCTGCCTCCATATCTGAAATCAAGTAATAAAGGCCTGCATTTCATATGATGTTGTAAATTAGCACTAGGAAAAATAGAAAGAGGTAGAAATGTAGTCCCTCCCTTCTGAAATCTATCTAGAAAAGAAGGCACACTGCATAGTATTCCATGGTGTATATGTGCCACATTTTCTTAATCCAGTCTATCATTGATGGACATTTGAGTTGGTTCCAAGTCTTTGCTATTGTGAATAGTGCTGCAATAAACATATGTGTGCATGTGCCTTTATAGCAGCATGATTTATAATCCCTTGGGTATATACCCAGTAATGGGATGGCTGGGTCAAATGGTATTTCTAGTTCTAGATCCTTGAGGAATTGCCACAATGTCTTCCACAAAGGTTGAACTAGTTTACAGTCCCATTGAACAGTAAGAACACTTGGACACAGGAAAGGGAACATCACACACCGGGGCCTGTCGTGGGGTTGGGGGAGAGGGGAGGGAAAACATTAGGAGATATACCTAATGTAAATGACAAGTTAATGGGTGCAGCACACCAACATGGCACATGTATACATATGTAACAAACCTGCACGTTGTGCACATGTACCCTAAAACTTAAAGTATAATAACAATAAAAAAAAAAGAAAATGTGAGGCTCAAAAAAAAGAAAAAAAAAAAAAGAAGGCACACAATCGACAAGTAAATAATAGCCACAAGAGAGCCCATTCACAAATCTGTAATACTTGTTGGCTAAATGAGTGGCATAGACAGTTCTTTGAGTTAAGACAATCCCTGCCTGACATGTCCTAGGAAGTATTCAGGGAGTGAGAAGAATTCAAGCTTGGCCTTGAAACACGGGCCTGTTTGGATCAAGTTAGAAAAGTAGAGTGAACATTACCAGCAGTGGAATTTCAGAAAGAGTAGCCCAGAGTCTGGTCAGAATAGAGTATATTCAGTAGAGAGTTATGTTCAGAATTTTGCTGGAGCACAGTAGGAAGATTTTGTACCTACATTCAATGAAAGGCATAATGGGATTAACTTATGTTGAATTCCTGGGTATGGACTTTGACTTTGAATTTCCCATTGTGGTCCATTGAGTATGAGAAAGAAGTTTCATGTGGAGATCTCCTAGCAATTGATAGTGGTTCATTAGAAATCTGTGTTCTTAGGCCATGGGCTCTTAGGCAAACAAAGAATGATTGATTACTAATGTCTACCATGAGGAGTGGGAAAGAGGTGGCCTATATGTTTTAAGTCCACCATGCAGGCAATACAATGTGAATCAATGAGTGCAATTTTAGACAAAAAGTAACATGATAAAAGAGATGTTTTAAAAAAGATCAATTTGGCAACAGATCATTGGATGGACTGCTAAGAGAGACAAAGCAAGAAAACCAGACCTGTTTTGCCAGAACCAGGACAGCAACCATGTAAATAAACATAGAAGAAGGAAGGAATTTAAGAGATTGTAACGGCAATTTGGCCAGGTGTGGTTGTGTGTGCTGGTAGTTCCAGCTTTTTTGGAGGCAGAAGTGAATTTCCTGAGTGCAGGAGTTTGAGGCTGCAGTGAGCTATGATTATGCCTCTGTACTCCAGCCTGGGCTTACAGAGTGAGACCCCATCTCTTAAAAAAAAAAAAAAAAGTAAAGAAAAGAGATTTTATTAAAAGCAAATCAATATACCTAGCACAAATACTAAAGGGTCTTTAAATCAAGTTGAGACATTTTGATTCTTGAGAAGGGTACCATATTGGCTAGGTCTTATAACAGGAAAGCCTGGTTTATTTCATTCATCTATTACCAAGTATTGTCACTTAGCAGAAAGTAAGGGCATTTGAGATGGAGTACAGATAAGCTCAGACAGATAATAGATAAAGAACGATTTGGATGTGGTGCCTTCTAAGTTCAGTGAGTATTTTGGTGAACCTGGTAAAAGTTTGATGGCAAAGCAGGGGCCCACCTAGAGGGAGTCAGTGACCATGGGCAGAAATGGTGGAAGACACTAAGCATAAATCTTGCCTTTGTCATGATTTTGACCAGTAGCTCTGGCCATGGCTTATTTCACCCACTCTTATCTTTCCATTTTGTTTACAATGTGTACAAAATGGCACCATGGCAGTTAAGCCAGAAGCAAAGACACAGGGCTGAAGCCAGATCTAGTTTCAAGGACAGGTAACTCAAAAGACCTCTTGGAGCAAGGGCAGAGGGAAAAGGGACTGTCCCTATAATCATTGACACTGCAAGTTTATTTATTTATTCATTCATTCATTCATTGAGGGACCATTATACATGAAGCTCTGAACTAAAAGCCATTTCAGCCAGGTGCAGTGGCTCATTCCTACAATCCAAACACTTTGGGAAGCTGAGGTGGGAGGATCACTTGAGCCCAGGAGTTTGAGACCAGCTTGGGCAACAAAGTGAGATCCTGTCTCTACAAATAATGATAATAGTAGCCATTTTAAAATTATGAGTAACGTACATATCCTCCAGACACTTACGCTTGACCCAGCAGAAAAGACATGCATATATTAAAATGAAGGAATACAGTGAGAAATGGCAGAGGCCATAAATAGCAAATGTCCCTGCCTTGTATCTAGCCAGTAATAGTCTTGGATATGCTGCTTTCTGGAATGTCATCAGTAAGATATCAGAGGGAAATTCACAAGTTAGGTGAAGGGACGTATGATCTGGGAGACAGGAATAACCACTCACCTAAGTGCTGAATCACAGCGATTCCCCAAAGCTAGACAAAAGGGAAGAACAAATAAGAAGGAGCTGTTTGCAGAAGGACTGGCCCTGACTGGGGCTCCCTTCTCATGGCACAAATATGTTGATTATGTATCTCCAACCAGGCTGAGGGAAAGACGTTTAGAACATTTCCTTAGACAATGGTCCAATTGAGAGGTCACTTCCTGCCACTTTCCATCCCCTGAGGGGGAATCCCATACTGGCTCCCGGTACACAGTGATGGCTGTTGAAAGCCAGGGTTCCGAACAAATGCCTGCTTGCCAGAGTCATAGGCTTCTAACTTTGAGGGTAAGAGATGAATTACACATGAGTATTCATGCTAAAATGTCCACTCAAATATAATGCAATCTGTACAGTTTTTCCATTCACATCGTTGCAAAGTAACTGTCAGTGTTTTCCTATGCTTCGTTTACTCTATATTTTTTCATATCATCTGAAAAACAGAAATTCATTGCTCCCAAATGAGCAACATTTTGAACTCAACCCTGACCCTCACATGTAAAAATCTGTGCCGTTGAAAAGAAACATAAAGTGTTTTGTTGTTTTGTTCTGTCTCTTCCCCTGAAAGCCATCCAAGGGCAGAATCCTGTTGCCTGCATTCACAATGAAGATGACATGGAAAGAACATGGTATTTTAGACAGAGCTTTCAAAAAAATCCATATAAGGGCAAAAAGAAACATTTGATGCTGAATTCTTTCCTAATTTAAGACATTGAGTCCAGTTTTAATTTTTTATTTTTTCGAATAAAGGAATAAGAATTTTAAGGCAAAATGCTCCTGGGATTTCTTGTGTGAGCTGAAAGAAGTGATGAGCAAACATTGTCCAAATCACTGAAGGAATTCCAGACAACCTAAATGTCCCCTTTGTGTGCGTGGTCAGCACCAGCCTGCACAAAAGATCTTGTCCTCTCTGGCACCCTCGTCTTCATCACTTGCGTCTCGGCATAACTCCATACTCTAGAATTTTAAACATATTTGTGTGTTGTTTTGCAACTGCTGCCAAGTTACTTCATAAGAACATTGCATAACCTGATATGATGCTTATCATAGCAGATGATCCGCACTAGAATCACCTGAGGTTTCATTAAAATGCAGATTTCTGGCTGGGTGCAATGGCTCATGCCTGAGATGCCACTACTTTAGTAGGCCAAGGCAGGACGACTGCCTGAGCCCAGGAGTTCAAGACCAGCCTGGGCAATATAACAAGACTTTGTCTCCATACACACACACAAAAATTCTTCAAAAATCAGCTGGGTGCAGTGGCAGGCACCCCTTTAGTTATAGCTACCAAGGAGGCTGAAGTGGGAGGATCGCTTGAGTCCAGGAGTTTGAGGTTGTAATGAGCCACAATCATGCCACTGCACTCCAGCTTGGGCAACAGAGAGAGACCTCAACTCAATTAAAAAAAAAATCCACCCAATGTAGAGTATCTATTTAAGGGGCCTGGGTATCTGCCCTCTAAGAAGACAATCCTGGGGTTTGCAACCACTTTGTAAAGAATGCTGGACTTTGAACTCTAATCTTAGTTCCACCATTAAACGTTCACTGTGGACTTTCAGTCAGTCATTTAAGTTCTGTGCCTCAGTTTTTTCAACTGTTACATAGGGTTATTGTGAGGTAATATATGGAGAAGTACTCATATATATAAAAAAATCATGTATGCACCTGTGAATTCCTTAGTGAGATGATAAACTATGAGACCCAGGAATCTCTTTAGAGTATTTTCCTATTGGCAATGTCATATTTGTAGCTAGATTTCTGTAAATAGCTGATTAATAAACTATATAGCATATTACAAGTGTTAGAAGCATTTGCACCCTGATACCTTGAGAAATTCAATTAGCCCTCAGGAGTCCAGACCAGTATAGGATTTACCTTGGCACCTTTAACACTAACCAGGGTCTTCCCTGGGACTTGCAGTTTAATTAATTATCAGAGTTGTCTCACAAAGTTCATAAGGTGGACATGTAAGGCCTCTTTGCCAATTTATATAACTGCCAACGGAAAAACAACTCATGAAGCCTGATAAGTCAAGTTGCCCTACCCAACAGAAGATTAGAGTAAAAAGTTTTGTTTTTAATTTTAAAAAGTTTTATTCAGGACAGTCTTAATCAGTTTGGGCTGCTATAACAAAAGTATCATAGACTGGGTGGCTTAAACAACAAAAATTTATTTCTCAGTTCTGTAGGCTGGGAAGTTTGAGATCAGCATGCCAGCTGATTCAGCTCCTGGTGAGGGCCCTCTTTGTGATTTTCCTTGCTGTATCCTCACATAGCAGAGAGAGAGGACTCTGGTCCTTTCCTCTTCTTATAAGAGCACTAATCCCATTATAGGGCCCCCCTCATAATCTCACGGAATTTTAAGTACCTCCCAAAGACTTCACCTCCAAATGCCATCACACTGGGGGCATGAATGGGGAGAGGACACAAACAGTCCATAGCAAGGACATTCTTTTATGCTTTCTCATGTCAAATATTTGAGAACTATATGATATCCCTATTTCACAAACAAATAAACTGAATCATAGGGAAGTTAAGTGGCTTGTGATATGTCTGTCTCCAGGAGATGGAAAGACCTGCCAAAGGGTGGAGCTGACTGCATGGGCCTGCAGGGTACCCAGAGAGTGCTGAGGCTGTCAGCTGATGGTCACCACGGTGACTCATTTCTGCTCTGTTCCAGGGCTGACCAACTCTCTTTTTCTGAATGACATATTTATTTCTTTAAATATGTTGTTTTAATTCTGATTTAGGTCAATTGTATTGGCTCTGAAGACGTCTTGTGAAGTCAGTGTTACCTCAAGTTCATTTTATATGGTAAAAGGATGAACTCTTTTTTACATGAATAGTTACACATTTATGATCATGGTTATTAGGAAAATATATATAACCAGTATGTCAAATCCTAATTTCAAAAATAGTATTACAAACATGAGGTTAATAACTTAAAATGATGAATTCATATAAAGTTAATTTAGTGAAAAACATTAAATAATTGTTTAGGTATTACAGAGATATCAACAATTTGTGGAAAAAGTTTACCAATAACAGAAGCTTGGGCTGGGCGTGGTGGCTCACACCTGGAATTGCAGCACTTTGGGAGGCCAAGGCAGGCAGATCACTTGAGGTCAGGAGTTTGAGACCAGCCTGTCCAACATTGTGAAACCCCGTCTCTCCTAAACATACAAAAATTATCCAGGCATGGTGGCGCATGCCTGTAATCTCAGCTACTCAGAGGCTGAGGTAGCAGAATTGCTTGAACCTGGAAGGCAGAGGTTGCAGTGAGGCAAGCTTGCACCACTGCACTCCAGCCTGGGTGACCAGAGTGAGATTCTGTCTCAAAAAAAAAAAAAAAAAGAGAGAGAGAGAAAAGAAAATAACAGAAGCTTGGGAAAGATGGCTTTAAATTGACTTTGTATACCTTTCTCTATTCCACTATGAGTTGACTTTTTAGTTAACTTTGAGAAAAGAATATGCATTTATTTTGAAGTTCTTCAGGGAGTGCCTCAAGGTAGCTTCTTTGAGCCAACAACATATATGACCTCATCTGATTTTAAAATGCTGATTATATGACCCTAAATCACACAAAATATAAAGATAGTAGTAATAGCTCCTTTTATTGACTATTAGCATGAATTTACACACTGTTCTAGTCATTTCATGCATACTATTGTTCATTATCAGAAGAACTCCTGTAAGACAGGTATCGTTATCCCCAATTTACAGGTGTGGAAACTGAGACTGTAAAAATGGAAAACTCCCTACAGCCCCATAACTTACTACATGTCAGTGCAAAAAACCTAAGCAAAGCTGTCACTTCCTTAAGCCCTTGTTCTTTTTCCAATACAAGTTACCTCTCTATATTAAATTTCCTAAAATATATTGCAAAAGTATTTTTAAATGCCTTACATAGTAAAGTTTTGGTGAGTATACTGTACTTGTTGAAAATCCAGAGGCTGTGGGGTGTGTGTGTGTGTGTGTATGTGTACTGAATTGATTCCGTTTTTAACTGGGTCATCTTTGGAGTGGTCTTGTCAACCAACGGTCAATACCTATCCCCAATCAGGGTCAATCAGATTTTCTTTCTTAGAAATCTAAGCTGAAGACTACTTGGCTAAAGAAAAGAGAGAACATGTAAATGTGGATGCTGTGAGAAAGTAGATGGAATGAAGGATGAAGAAGCAGAGAGAATACTGAAGCAGAGGTACACCTAGAAGCAGAGAGGGGAGAGAGAGAGAGAGACAGAGAGAGAGAGAGAGAGAGAAAGAGAGAGAGAGAGAGAGAGATCCCATCCAGATTCCTAGATGCAGTCCCTCATGAGGCCCAGTTGTTCCATCTCCTACCCTGGTGCTCTGTGTGGTATACTTATAATAAATTCTTATGCTTTAATTAAGCTAATCTGACATGAGTCCCTGTTACAACCAAACAGTGTTAATACAGTTGCAACATTGGAAAGAAATGTCTCCTTAAAAATGCTTTCCAATAAATAACCATGAACACTTCAGTTTCAGGTGATCATCTACTGGTAGTGACTGTATGACAGATCATTTCAGTTAGTTCTAAAAGTCAAATGCAGTCCACTTGACTACACTGTAATAAGTACACATAATACACAGATAAATGACTAAGATTCTTTGATGGGTTTGATTAAATTGCCTATATTTGCACCACAAAGACATTCAAATGAGAAAATGATACATACACCCCCTAAAAGAGCAGAGTCACAAAAGATGGCCTTTACGTATCAAATAAACCCCAGTTTGTCTCCTGTAGTTCCCTTTGAGTTGCTTTCTCCACTCATCCTGCCTTAACCATTCTTACCAGAAACTCCAGAATATTTTTTTGCCCAGACAAAACTAGAAGCAGATTTAGCAACAAAAGCATGTGTGTTTAAAAATGGCCCCTTACTTAGCATGTGTTAATACGATGGTGCATACCAGAGGAACAAAATAAAATAATCACAAGAAATGACTGCAAAACACAAGCATTCTGGATAATTCAAACCTAAGATTTTTAGCTGGTTAAAACAATTTGGTTTTTATTTCATACATCACCAAAGTGAGACATTAAAGAAGACTCTATGCAGAACAATTTTTTGTTTTTCACCCATGTTTTCCCTTGAGTTTAAGAAATGAAAAAGTAGAAAACCATAGCATTTCTTTCATTGAATTAATATTTAAAAACGAGTTTTAGCAATTAAAATCAGATTTTCTAAAACAAGGAAAAAATACATCTGGGTAAAATGCTTATATTAAAAGTTTTAGTAGAATATGGATTAAATTATTGGCTTTTAAACCACCCTGCAAAGATGCTATTGACTCTCTATTGGAAAAATCAGTTGTCCAAAGTAGTACAACATTTTGACACTAGTAAAATTAAAAGCTAAGTTAAAATTTGGAATAAATCATTTTCAAATTTAATAATACTAGAAAAATCTAGAGTATAATGTCTTCCACTGCAACTGATCTTTTACTGATTGTTTTAGTTCATTACAGAGATTCTTCAGGCTATAGCTATTGAAACCTGCAGCTTGATCCTCCAGTAGACTTGGGGCAGCAAATTCACATGGGCATGAGTATCCATTCTCTTCACCTTGATTCTTTTGACTTGAAAGTTGTTCTTTTCAATGCTTCTGCCCAAGAGAGAAAAAGCAAATCTAGATGTGCTTTTTCTAGATGTGGGAGGTGTCTTTGCTTTGTGAGTTGTCATAAAAGTTGTCAGGTGCTAAAAGATCTAAATGTTAAGAGACTACAGCTGAAGTTATAAACACATGCTTTTAAAGAAAAAAATCCTGAGAGTAATACATTAATATTATTATATATCATGCTGTAGAGGAGTTTGCTCCTACAAAGTGAATACTTTACTGAAAAATGACCCAGCAGAAGTTGGTTTTAAAAGAAAGAATGTATATAGCTGAAGTTAAATATTTCTGTTTTGAAATGTGCATTACAATTTGAATTTATCAGACCACTAAGAGTAAATATTAGCCACTAACAATATAATTTACTACCATATAGCAAAGTAATGGACCAGGCTAACCATATACTAGAGAATAAGCAACTTCCTAAGCAAAGTCTAAATGTCTCCTAAATTCCCACTAATGATGCTTTTACCTCTAGTTAATGTCAGTGGAAATCTGTAGCTGTTAAAACGCAAATACCTTTGAGTTTTCATACAAACTCTTTCTTCTGCTTACAAGGTCCTTCCCCTTACTCCTTTCAGAGACAGAAGTATTTTTTTTTCTTTTTCTCTCAGTTTAAATGTCATTCCTTTTACCACAGTTTTCCCCCATCAGCTTCTTCCTTTTGCCCAACCTCCACTGCAGTAGAATTAACAAATTAATCACGCACTCCTGTGTTATACACAGTGTTACCATAGCATTGTGTTAAGTAGCACAGCACTTCCGTTGTGTTATAATTAGCTCTGTGTACATGGGTCTATCACCACAATCCTGGAGACTTTTGAAAGTGGGAACAATGTGTAATTCATTCAACTTTTTTTTATAATAGGCAGTCCAAAATGTTCATCAGAAATAAATGAATACAATCCTCTTATTAGAAATACGCTCATGCATTCACTCATTCATACCTCATTCACTCATTCATACTTCATTCACTCATTCATACTTCAACTCAACAAGTAGTTACCTAGTATATATAAGATATGTGCTGCATAATGACATTTTGGTCAACAATGGACCATGTATATCTTATGGTACCAACAATAATCCCATAAGATTATAATACCGAGTTTTTACGGTACCTTTTCTAGGTTTAGACATATTTGTGAAAGTGTGCTCTACAAAGTTTGCACAATGATGAAATTGTCTAATGATGCATATCTCAGAATGTATCCTCATCATTAAGTGACACATAGTGGTAGCTTGCATCTTAGTGTAAAATAGTTTCTCAGATCCATTCCTCAGAAGTAGAGGGTGGAGGGCCGGGCACGGTGGCTCATGCCTGTAATCCCAGCACTTTGGGAGGCTGAGGCGGGCGGATCACGAGGTCAGGAGATCGAGACCATCCTGGCCAACATGGTGAAACCCCATCTCTACTAAAAATACAAAAAATTAGCCAGGCGTGGTGGCGGGCATCTGTAGTCCCAGCTACTCGGGAGGCTGAGGCAGAATGGCATGAACCTGGAGGCGGAGCTTGCAGTGAGCCGAGATTGCGCCACGACACTCCAGCCTGGGTGACAGAGCAAGACTCCGTCTCAAAAAAAAAAAAAAAAAAAGAAGTAGAGTGGGGAGACTTCGAGGCCACTGGAAATCTTTCAAATACATGACAACACGCAGTGGAAAAGAGCAGAGAAAAGGCAAAAAAAAAAATTATCCTGCTTAAGCATTTTGCCTATGGCTATCTCTGATGCTAAATGTATAGCATGTGCTTAATGAAACTTGTTGAATGACTGATTGATTATAGCTGAAGTTCAACTGTTTTCTGTCAAAGCAGGTGATAAAAATATCTGCTAAAAACTTCATCATCTTCAATACAAACTTTCATATAAAGCCAATTTTCATCTTGACAAATAACTAACCTACACAGGACTGATGTCATTCCTCACTAAAACCTTCCACATTTCTTGCATGCATATCTTTATTTTAAAAATACGTATCCATCAATGATTATATTATGTAGTATTTCTTCAAGCTTTAGGCCCCTAGCATTATATGCTGATTTTCTTGAAATGAGGAAAAAACATTTTCTCTTTAAACTAAATGCTAGTATATTTGTGCTTCTGTAAAGCAAGAAACTTGATTAGTTAGTTCTTCACTGAGACAGTAATCATTTATGTGAACAATGATCCCCCAGAGGCAGGGCAAGTTTTTGTGCTTCTTCTGAGGTCTTGTCAAATGACAAAATTACATCTGGTCCCATGCTATTATCAGACATAAATAACCATATTCATAAATTCTTAAGCTTTCAGAATTGAAAGGAACTTTCAGGATTTTCTATTTGAGGTTTCTACCAATGCAAGAATCCCTTTTCCCCCATTCCTCACAGGTTAAATCTGCCTGGATACAACCAGAGACAGAAATCATCTTCCTCAGAGGGAGCCAATTCCATTTCGGAATAAGTCTAATTCTTAGAATGCACTTCTATTTATTGAGCCAAAATCAGATTCCCTGAACTTCAAACATTGATCCTGGCTCTAGCCTCTAGTGTTTCAAAGATTTAATCTAATCCCTCTTCAAATACTGAAAGGCAGCCATGGTTCCCTCTAGGTATTTTCCAGTACAGCCTATAAACCTGACTAAATCTGTATCATCCAGCCCACATGTGTCTATTAACCACAAGGACATCATGAGCAATCACTTCAAAGGCCTTGCTCATGTACTAATCCCAGCACTTCTTTAACTACCAATTAAATAAGCAAAGCGAATTGGTCATAATTGCTCCTAGGAAATTCCTGTTGGCTCTTAGTGATCACTACCTACTTCTGGGTGCACATAAGCAATGTGTTTAATAATTCATTTGAAACTATGTTCGTTTTTGTTTGTGAATCCATCTTTCTCTCTGTATGACTCAAGGTTCAACCAGAGACAAGGGAAATCCACTTTAAGTAGTTAAAACATGAGGGGAGACAATACAGGGAACTGATTACACAGAAGCAGAAGGGCTCACTGTATCAGGGAGGTACTGAGGCAATCTAGATATTAGAAATCACCAGAAGCCACTAGGACTTCTTAGGCTGAAGGAGAAAAGGGGAGGAACCAGTGATAACTGGTGCCAGGAGTCAGGGTCACCCTGCAAAGATTGTACTGTGACAGGAGTGTAGAGCAGGAGTCACAGCTACAGAGGAGACACCACTTGAGACATTTTCAGAGATGTCACCTCAGACACAGAAGGACAGGACAAATAATCTGGCTTTTCTCTTCCACAGCCCTTTATGCTCCAGGGGCTTTCTAACTGGCTGAATCCACTGGAAAGCCAGAGGACACAGTAGCCTGGAAATGCACCAGCAAAGGGGCCATGGCAGAGCAGGCAAGAGGCAGATATTGGGGCCTTTCCACAATTCTCCATGATAATCAAAGGCTACATGCCTATGGAATAGTTCAGTACTTTGGAGGATAGCTTATTATATCACTTATTTTATTATGGTTTGTTTTAGCGGTGGCTTGATATGGTTTGGCTTTGTCCCCATCCAAATCTCATCTTGAATTGTAGCTCTCATAATTCCCATATGTTGTTGGAGGCACCTGGTGGGAGGTAATTGAATCTCAGCAGCAGGTTTATCCTGTGCTGTTCTCATGAGAGTGTATAAGTCTCACAAGATCTGATGGTTTTATAAAGGGGAGGTCCCTGCATGCACTCTCCTTGCCTGCTGCCACGTAAGATGTGCCTTTGTTCTTCCTTCACCATCCACTATAATTGTGAGGCCTCCCCAGCCATGTGGAACTGTGAGTCCATTAAACGTCATTCCTTTATAAATCACTCAGTCTTAGGTATGTCTTTATTAGCAGTGTGAGAACAGACTAATACAGTAAATTGGTACCAGGTAGCAAGGTGCTGCTGTAAACATACCGAAAAATAGTGGAAGTGACTTTGGAACAGAGTAACAGGCAGAGGTTGGAACAGTTTGGAGGGCTCAGAAGAAGACAGGAAAATGTGGGAAAGATTGGAACTTCCCTGCTCAGAAGACAAGAAGATGTGGGAAACTTTGGAACCGCCTAGAGTCTTGTTGAATGGCTTTCACCAAAATGCTGACAGTGATATGGACAATAAGGTCCAAGCTGAGGTGGTCTCATATGGAGATGAGGAACTTATTGGGAACTGGAAAAAAGGTGACTCTTGCTATGCAAAGAGACTCGTGGCATTTTGCCCCTGCCCTAGAGATCTGTGGAATTTTGAACTTGAGAGAGATGATTTGGGGTAACGAGTGGAAGAAATTTCAAAGCACTCAAGAAGTGACAGAGCATAAAAGTTTGGAAAATTTGCAGCCTGATGATGCAGTAGAAAAGAAAAACCCACTTTCTAGGGAGAAATTCAAGCTGCTGCAGAAACTTGCATAAGTAATGAGGAGGCAACTACTAATCACCAAGACAATGGGGAAAATGTCTCCAGGGCATGTCAGAGACTTTCACAGCAGTCCCTCCCATCACAGGCCTGGAGACCTAGGAGGGAAAAATGGTTTCCCTGGCCAGGCCCAGGTCCCCCTTGCTCTATGCAGCCTCCAAACATGGTGCCCTGCATCCCAGCTGTTTCAGCTTCAGCTGTGGCTAAAAGGAGCCAAAGTACAACTCAGGCTGTGGCTTCAGAGGGTGCAAGCCCCAAGCCTTTGCAGCTTACACATGGTGTTGGGCATGTGAGCGGACAAAAGTCAAGAATTGAGGTTTGGGAACCTCCACCTAGATTTCAGAGGATGTATGGAAATGCCTGGATGTCCAGGCAGAAGTTTGCCGCAGGGGATGGGTCCTCATGGAGAACCTCTGCTAGGGCAGTATGGAAGGGAAATGTGGGGTTGGAGCCCACACCCAGAGTCCCCACTGGGGCACTGCCTAGAGGAACTATGAAAATAAGGCCACCATCTTCCAGAACCCAGAATGGTAGACCCACTGACAGTTTATATCATGCATCTGGAAAAGCCTCAGACACTCAATGCCAGCCCATGAAAGCAGCCAGGAGAGGGGCTTTGCTCCTGCAAAGCCTCAGAAGCAGAGCTGCCCAAGGCCATGGGAGCCCACTTCTTGCATCAGCATGACCTGGATATGAGACACGGAGTCAAAGGAGATCATTTTTGGAAATTTAAGGTTTAATGACTGCCCTATTGGATTTCAGACTTGCATGGCAACTGTAGCCCCTTTGTTTTGCCCAATTTCTCCCATTTGGAATGGTTATATTTACCCAATGCTGGTACCCCTATTGTAACTGGGAAGTAACTAACTTACTTTTGATTTTACAGGCTAGTAGGCAGAAGGGACTTGCTTTGTCTCAGATGAGACTGGACTGTGGAATTTTGACTTAATGCTGAAATGAGTTAAGACTTTGCGAGACTCTTGGGAAGGCATGATTGGTTTTGAAATGTGAGGACATGAGATTTGGGAGGGGCTGGGACAGAATGATATGGTTTGGCTGTGTCCCCAGCCAAATTTCATCTTGAATTGTAGCTCTCATGGTTCCCATGTGTCATGGGAGGGAACTGGTGGGAGGTAACTGAATCATGGGGGTGGGTCTTTCCCAAGCTGTTCTCGTGATAGTGAATAAGTCCCATGAGATCTGATGGTTTTATAAAGGGGAGTTCTCCACATGTGCTCTCTTTGCCAGCTGCCATGTAAGACATGCCTTTGTGCTTCACCTTCCACCATGATTGTGAGGCCTCCCCAGCCATGTGGATCTGTGAGTCCATTAAACCTCATTCCTTTATAAATTACCCAGGCTCAGGTATGTCTTTATTAGCAGCATGAGAACAGACTAATACACTGCTCTTCACATAAATGTCTTTCCCAAATCTGAGCAAGCATGACACAACTTTGTGTTGTCATTTAACCTCCACAGCATTTACTAGTCTAGCACATGAGACACTAAATTAACACAATTTGTCTGATTTGGAAAAAAATCAATTATTCTCCAAAACTAGCTACTCATGTTTAATCTCCTCTCTTGTTTGCTGTTTAATTTCTGCTTAATCATGTTTGCATTTCATTTTTTAGTTTATAGATGGTGTTAACCGATAGTTAACTGGAGTTAAGTAGATCCAATTCTCCTTCTTAGAGGGTTAACTTGACAATATCCACTTACTGATTATTTGTCTAACAATGCAAACCCAGCTTTCATTGTGAGAAACATGAAATGTATTGTGAAAATGTTCAAATGACATTTAAGTGATGCATATCAATATTATATTTGTATTTTTAAAGTAATTCCATTCTCTCTTTTGAGATTTTACTAGAAGAATGTTTGTATAGTGTGCCTGGCACAAACATTTTTACATTTAGCAGCCGGTAGCTTTATAAAATCATCAGTCAGCTGGCTGAGTTCACGAATTTAGCTAATCTCCCTAACAAAATGGTAGGTTTTAACAGTAATTGGCAAAATTGAACAGCAATCAGATCATTGTGTTAAATCAGGATTCATATCCAGTTTTTCCTGACCGTCCAAAGTAAATGTTTTAATCACAAATACTAGACCGATTCTCAAATGGTGAAGTATAGAGCTGTTGCTGTCCCATGCATTACTAGCCATAGAGAGGTACTAAACACTTGAGGTGAGGCTCCTCTGTGTTGGCATATGCTGTGAGCATAAAATGCATATGAAAATTCAAAGACTTAGTTATACAGAAAAGAATGTGAGATATTTTATTAATATTTATATTGATTACATGTTAAAATGATTATAGTGTGGACACATTAAGTTAAATACAACATTGTTAATTTCCTCTTTTCACTTTTTAAATTTGGCTCCTAGAAAATTAAACTATAT
Source organism: Homo sapiens (assembly GCF_000001405.40). Classification (NCBI taxonomy): domain Eukaryota; kingdom Metazoa; phylum Chordata; class Mammalia; order Primates; family Hominidae; genus Homo; species Homo sapiens. The sequence goes on along the minus strand of NC_000005.10, from coordinate 89,024,967 downwards.
ATATATATACATATATATGTCCAATACATATTATTTCATTTATGAAACAATATATGTTAGTATTTGTGGCTCTCTTTATCTTTCTATTGGAGAGTGCTGGTCTAGAGCAAATGAAGAGGTGACTGTCTGCTGAGACAGGACATAGCAGCTAAAGGAGAAGTCATCTCTCCTTTTAATTAGTTTTGTAATTGCAACAAATTCAATGTCAGACATTTAAAAGAGACAAGCCTATTCTCTTCACTCAAGCAAAACTCCCACTGCGGTTCCTAAGTGTTCTGCCTGAGTGAAACAAATGAGATTAGGCCCATAATGTTTACTTCATACTAAAACATTTGCTCTTTTCTAAAACTTTTTTAGTATACCATTGGCTACCAGGCTATACAAGTGTAGAATAGAGAAAAGGATGAAAGAACAATAAAGGAATGATTTGAAAGTGTTGTTTTGAAACATGTAACTAGTGCTGTCAGCTGCTGGTTCTTTCCATTTTGTACATTTACATTTCCTGACTGTAGTTTAAGAACATTTCACTGCGTGTTACTATCAATCATCCTTAACCTAGAAGTGCACTGTACATTAGTAACAGTTAATTGGCATATTTAAAGTAAATAGCTACTTAGTTTTGTTTTGAAGGTTTTGCATACAAATCTATAACACCACATGCTTTGTTTGTTTCAATAACAAACATCCCTGTCTGCAACATTGCCACCTCTGACAGTAGATGAATAGAGATGCAATCGCATTGAAATACTCAGCACACTATACGACAGCCCAAATGACATGCAGTGTGTAAGCAGGCACTCTCTGCCCACCAAATGATGCCCCTAGAGAAAGATGAACACAAAGACATGAAAAGGAGAGGCAATGTGAAGTAGTAGAAAGATGGTTAAGAAAGAAAGTTAAGGGAAAAAAAATAGAAATTATAACTCTGCCTATATTTTTCTATGTGTTAATGAGCTATAAGGGGGAATTATTTAGCAGACATTGTCTTGGCCTCTGCCATTTGTTCAATGTCAGGGTCACACTCAGCAAGCAACATGCTTCTCGAAGCTCAGGGAGAGCTACCATTCTACTCCCCACTCCCCTCAGAATCAGTCCAGTAGCAAGTAGAAATGGGCATCTTCCTTGGGCAGCAAGGCTAAAACAGTAATGGCTTAGGTATTTGATAAAAGAAGATAAAATAACAGGGATTTCTTTCCAATTGTGAGGTCAGGACATCTATGATATATATCTTAAAACAAACATTATACACTATATTTTGGGTGAATCCCAGCATCTCCTAGATTTGGAGACAGAAATCTTTACCTGAGTCAACAATATTTCTTTTGCTACCTGTGACCAAGGAATCAAAAGAGATCATCTGATAGTTATGTGTGTATGAGTGAGTGTGTGTGTGTGTCTGTCTGTCTGTATGTGTCTCTGTCTATGAGAGAAAGGGAGAGAGAAACAATATAAACAGTTATTAATATGGAACAATGTCACAATCCATAAAAATCCTATAACCTACAAAAAGTTTGAAATAAAATCAACTAACAGTGCAATTAGAAACCATAGTGATACTATTCTATTGCTAGCACTAAAAACATTATTTAAACTATACAAAGAGGTTAATGAAGAAAAAAGGTTTTATGGAAATAACCCGGAGAGTTAAACAGTGCTCATTTCTAATATTGTTTCTCTGGGAAATTTCAAATCTGAGATACCAAAAAAAGTTTTACTTATTTAACTTAGAAACATCATCAGTAAGCAGGAATTTGCTACTTTTATTAGCAGCAAAACCTAGCTATGGCATTTTTTCAGTGTTTGGAATATGATAATATAACCTGCAAAACTAGGAGTGGTCTGGGCACTTGTCCTTCATCTGCTCCCATGTATTACATCTACCTAGTAAAGAAAAAGAAGAAAAGTTGCAAATAGTGTTATCTTAAGGATCCAAAAATATGAAGAGGAGAATTTCTCTTTCTCAGTAAAAGTATCAGGAAGAATTTCCCATCTGTTCTAAATTTCTACTATTGAACTCTTCAGTTGAGGTCCACAGTCTTTCATGGTTCACTGTGAATTTCTAAATAGATGTTTTGACATCACTAACTCAAAACTAAAAAGCCAGAATTCTTTTCTGGGACAGTGTTTTCGAGGCCTTCTTTCCAATGAAGCTTTTCTATGTGTATTGTTAACACCACCATCCAGGCTGATATTAAGTTTTTGGGGCAGCATGTGTCTCTTTGTCACACAGCCCATTCGATTCAGGAGTGTACCCTATTCCATCTCTTTTGTTATATTTCCAAGATGTATTCATTTCTTTCAACAATTACCATTAAAGCTCTGGAGTCATGGTTAAAGCATAACTAAATGATCGCTATAACTTCTTGGTTGAATCCATTGTCTCTCTTTCAATCCATTTAAATGAAATGATGAAATTGTGGACTCTAACCAGTGCTTCTTAAACTATCCGTGGTAGAGAAAAGAGTTTTTGTTTCCTTCAATCCATCATGAACTGATACTTTTGTAAACAAAAATAAAATGAACCACTAGAAAAGTGAACACATGATTTGATGTCACAGCTATGTCAAATTGCTATAAAAGTTTCTAAATTCTGACTCTCAGTCTTTAGATTTGTCTCATCCTAGACCTCTACCCATTTCCTGATAAGTACAGGTTTGAAGACTACACTCTGATTAGCACCAATAAGCTACTGATTATCTAATGATCATTACTTTTTTTAGCCTTTACATGTATATCAGTACAGTACAAGCACCAAAAATAAACATAAAACTAAATTTTTGTTCAGATGGGTTGAGTCTAGAAAAAAACCCACAGAGGTCTTTTCTCTCCCATTAAATATCCTCTGACCTTAAAGCACTTTAAATCCTATAGATGTTAGATAAAATTGTCAAACAGCTTGTGACAAAGAAGTACCAACACCTTGATCAAAGCAAGAGAGGGCAGGAAAATACTTAAAAATATTATGGCCACTAAACTCCAAAAAAGAAGCAGAGAAATCATATACATATGCACGCACACACACATGCATACACACAAATTTCATCTAAGCATATTAAAGAAATTCTTAAGTATATTCTGCAAGAGGAATATACAAAATGTATCCAAGTTCTCATCACTAGGATGGCCAAATTCAGTGCTAAAAGGCAATATAGAAAAAAAGTATGAAATAAAAAGTTCAGTGTACTATCCCTTTACAACTAGTAAGGCTTTTTAAAAATCATCAAACTATTTATTTTGTGTGATATAAACAAAATATCCAGATGAATTTCTGAAATTTCAACCATATTGACTGAAGTTAATATGTTGCAGAGATACAAAGAGGCATTTCACTGAGATACTCACCTTACAGCTGTACTTTGATATACCATTTGTTTTATAGACTAAAATGCAGAAAGTATTGCCCTCATCCATAGGCTCAAAGAGTGATAATAATCCCCTTCCTTCTGGGTTCCATTGCTTGAGCCAGATTACTTTTCATACTGTTTCTTCATATACTTTGCAACACGATCACATCGCATTTTTCTTCAAAACTCTGGCAGATTGTTTGGGCTAGAGATAGATGGAGACAAGAGGCACCATCTGGTGCAAGATCTTTATTCCTTGTTAGCACTATAGGAGTTCTGGTATTTTACATGGTTCAAGCAGTAGCAAAGATTTTTAAAAATGCATAGATTGAGAAGGTGTAAGATGGTCAAATGGCCCTTGGCACAGTCTGATCATATCACCGGCTTCCTTGGTGTAGAGTTGGGGTTTTTTGTTGTCTTTTTTTTTTTTTTCCAATTCAGACATCCAGTGGCATATGGTTTCATGATTCACAAAGATGGTCCTTGACTATGGATTTGACGATCTCAACATAACTTTCAGGCTTGCCAGAGCTGTGTTACAGTGGAGAGAGCAAATAGCTCATGATATTTCTCCTCTGATGAGTAAGCTCCAAAATCTCAGGTTTAAATTTGATTTGGGATTGAAAGAAAAGGAATCATGTCCTCCCATTCCAGTGTCCATGCTATTTCTTTTTAAGAGCTGAATGTTTGTTTCTGCATCATTGGCTCACAGCTTTAGGAACCAAAGGCTCAAATAATATCCAGGTTAATTCTGTTGACCCTGATTAATTACATGCTTTTACTCTTTTATATACCTTTCTATTCTTTAGAAGTCCAAGACCTCCCTGAAACATTACTATTGTTTTAAAAATCTGGTGACTATTTAACAGAAAAAAATTTTCATGTTTCCTTCACAATTAAAGTCAGTATTTTCTAATGGAATTAGCTAAGAGTTGGGAGCCAGGACACTTGCCTGATGATGCTAAGAAACTAACTTGCAGTTACCTTATGAGGGTAAGTGAAAAAATGAACTGGAACATTTCTTTGGCAACAAACTAAAACACACAAAAAGTGAGGCTTATGCAAATTAATCCTGACTGCAATTCAACAACAAAGTTAAAGGACACCCTCACCTATTGCCCCTGATTTCAGAAGCCTACATGGAACTACTGTTGTTGGAATGTGTTGCCAAAAATTTGTAGTGTCATTATAATGATCACATTAATGGCATCTTAATATCCGTGAAATGCTCTGTCATTATCCTATACACATATGGTACTCATTCTCCCCTCTGCTTTTGGCCATTTTCTTTGATTCTTTCATTAATCCTAAACTCTCACTCTCTCTCCTGTTTCACTCATATGCTTTGTAACCTCCAGGCTCACTTTTTTATATGGTTTGCAGGATCCATAACTTATGACTTTTTTTTGAGTCCTTTGACCACTTATCCCTGCCATCCACCACTCTCTCACTGAAAGCTCCTTGCTTGATATCAGGAAATGGTGCAGATATCAATGGGAATGATGTAAAAGGAAGAAGGAAAAGGAGAAATAACGGAATGTGTCTAAGATAAATAGGGTTCTATGTTAAAGAAAGTAGATGTCAATATGACAGCAGATGGTGTAGATAAACTCAGAATGAATATGGCTAACCCACTGCATTTGACATATGGCTGATTGTAAACCATACATACAACTCAGATGTACAACACACTTCGCAGGTAGCTGTTCATTGGCTCTCTTTAGTCAAGTGCTATGCCAGAGTCAACTCTTTTTATATTTGTACAAGAGGTAGAGCACCTAATAATGTCTAGGTCACTCTTCTTAAAGGCTAATAATTTGTGAGGAGTCTTATTTTTATGTTAACAGCAAACAATTTCCTTTAAAGTATAAAGAAGAGTTATCTGTATACTTCCCACACCACTCCTCAGATTCGTTTTGAAGTGCGACTTTGTTTCTTCTTGGATCACATGTTCCAAAAGAAGAAATGAATATACATTACTCTGTCTAGATAAAGAAAAAGAAAGCAATCTCCCAGTGGCAGCTCATTTCTTCTCTACTCTTATGTTGGAGGTGAAACAGAAGGTGGAGTCCAGGGAATGACCAACATCATGTGCTTTGAATTGTAATAACTTCTGAAATCCTGGCTTGGGGAATAAATCTGAAGCTAGTGACAAATTCAGGATTCAAGTTGCTATCAATAAATAGATTATCTCAAAAGTTTCAATGGTGGCCCAGTGAATACAGAAAAAGGCCACATTTACCAAACTGACATTTAATGCTCTCCACAATCAGATATCAACCTATCTTTTCAATGTTTCAACTGCTATTTTCATTCATTAACCTTCATTTCCTTTGGAAAAATTTATTCACTGTTACTTTAAAACATCATATGGATTTAAGTTCTACAATGCCATTTACATGCATGTTCTTGTTGGGATGTCCACTTCCTTGCCTCTCAACTTGTTTAAACAGTATTCTCCCTTTAGAGGCTCCTAAAGATTCACACCATCTATGATTCCTTCCCAGCTACTCCAGGCCAGGATGATCTCTCTTCTGATCACCTAGAGATTTAATCTTCTGTACTACCCACTGAGCTCTTATTGTAGGCTATCTCTGGTTGCTAGTTAACACTTTTTACATGTGTCCTGTCATTCAGCTATACCAGGTGCTGTGGTTGTCTCAGACTGTAAGGTAATCGGAGGCAATCACTGTTTCTACATGCAACTTTTATAGAGCTTAGAAAAGGCACTCATTATATTTGTCAATGGATCATTTTATTGAATTCCTGCATTTTAAATTTAAGTGCATAATCAATGTTAGATGTTCAACTTCAAATTTCTGTAACTATACAGACCTTTGCTAACTTGAGGCTAGCTTTATAAAGGGCATGTTACTAGGCTTCATGTAAGCCTGAGATAACACCGTAAAATCTAACTTAGTAAAATACAGATTGAAAGCCTAAAAAATAAAGGGGAGATAAAATAAAAATTCCCTTCAATAATCTGCAGAAATGTACTCTGATTTTTAAGCCATCTCTTTAATATAGCTAATCGTCTGACCATCAACATAGCATTACAAGAGTTTTTTTTTTTTTTTTTTAAAGGGAGCTAGACATTGATCTGAGGATTGATCTCACCAGGTATTGACAACTAAAATAAAACAAGCAAATTAGGTACTGATGAAAAGATACTGAGACAAAGCTGGTCTGTATACTCTCAGCTAAGCTCTGAAAGAAGCAACCTGAGTAATACAGAAAGATCATTCTAGAAGAAATTTGGGAAAATAAATTAGGAAGATGACAGTATATAGAAAAATAAATGTGGTGACAAAGATAAATTTTACACCAGGTGAAATTTGATTCTATTTTTTTCCATTTATTTCTTTTTCTAAGACAATCTCACTCTGTTACCCAGGTTGGAAGGCAGTGGCACAATCACGGCTCACTGCAGCCTTCACCTCCCCAGGCTCAGATGATTCTCTCACCTCAGCCTCCTGACCAGCTGGGACTACAGGCGCATGCCACCACACCCAGCTAATTTTTATATTTTTTGTAGAGATGGGGTTTCACTATGTTTCCCAGGCTGGTGTTGAACTCCTGGGCTCCAGCAATCTGCCAGCCTTGGCCTCCCAAAGTGCTGGGATTACAGGCGTGAGGCACCATGCCCAGCCGTGATTCTATCCGTATATAGAACTGCAGCACAAACTTTTTATGCAAAAGTAACCATTTCATTCAGCCAAGCAAATCTTAGTTCAGTCAGCCAACCAGGTGGATTGACCACTCAATTAATTGGTCAGTTGATTGAGCTGACTAAATATTTGCTCATAACTTAAAGTGGCCTTAGAAGTTGAATAGTTTATAGCTGTAAAAAAGGATTTTCTAAGCTTAAAGTAACATACAAAATGTTGTGCCCCAGGCCACCAACTGTTCACCAAAGATGTATACTCCCCTCTACTCCCTCCATAGTGAAAACTGTTGCTAGAAGGCGACTACCCAGACAGGGACTCCATTTCCAGTCCCATTCACAATTAGGCGATGCCATATGTCTAGTTCTTGTCAAAGAAAAATGAGACTAAGTGGCACAGGCTGTTTGGGGAATGAAATGGTTAAAAACCATTTGTGCCTTCTCCACAGTCCCTCTTTTCCTGTCTGCCCAGCCTCTTCTCCTTTGCATGCTTTCATCATTGCTACTTTCTGGTCAGTGGGTTGGAAGAGACTTTGTCATAAGGTAAGATTTCTTTTCCCAAACCTTGTATTTATTCATTTCCATTAGCCTATTCAAAGCTTAAAGAGAGGCCTATAAAAGAACCCAATTATCTGGTGAAAACTGGGACCACTAGCTATGTGTCATAATTCAACATTTGATTACAATAACAATAATGATGATGGGGATGATGGTAACGAAAAGTAAAGGTTTTTTTGTTTGTTTGTTTTTACAAAAGAGATTCTTAAAAAAAATGCAAAACACCATGTTTATAAAGGCTTTTTAGAAGTATTTCAAAAAGAAAAAAAAAATCATTTCAATTAAAGCTGAGCTAAGCAGAATTTAAGCAATCTCTGTAACATCAGAAAGGAAAGACTGTTTAAGCCTATTGCAATTTATTCTCCCCAAGGCATTCATTGTTAAGGCCTCCAGGGCATTACCTTAGCCTAGTTTTAAAGTTACTGATTCAAACCACAGTCCATTCAAGTAAGCCCCTTGTGTTGGCCTTACTACTATGCAGTCCAAAGAATTGCATTGTCTTCCTAAGCAGCTAATTTCAAATGAACTCCGCACCACAGTCTCGTGGAACTGGGAACATCACCCAGAAGCTGAACCAGGGAAGAGTACAGAGTTAAGATCCTGTGAATTGGAAAGGAGTGAGACAACCCTGATGTATCCAAAAGATCTTGGAAATGAAACATGCTTTACTTAATTGTTCTACAATTTCTCTAACTGTAAGCTAATATTAGCATTTGCAAGGGAAAATAAAATGTTGCATAAGCTAAAATCTCATTGTTTTAAAAAAAATACAAGAATCACTTTTTCTTGGTTTGAACTGATTTTCCCTTTTCTCCAACTTTTGCTATTGTTGGGGTTTCCAAATATAATAATGTTTCTGACCATTCTTAATTGTGCCTTAATGGGTGTTAAGCATGGGAGTGTAGGCAAACATACAGAGTTTTCCAGCCTTTGACTGTTCCTTGCCTCTGGCCTCTGTCAGGGAGGCTTGCTAACTGCATCTCAGGGGAGCAATCACACGGCTTGACTCAGCCTGTGGCTCTGACTATTGGGACTTCCTGAAGTCACAACCACTTTGGCATCCAGTAATGGGGCACCACATGTCTACTCTTCACAAAATCCAGAGATTGCAAGGGAAGTGTGAAACGTGAGAGCTGATTAGGGATGCACCTTAAATGGTATCAAGGGAGCCAGTTAGCAATGCAAAATATGAGATAATATAAACATAACATTCACTGCCTGCCAGTTGATCACTTATGTGAGCACCACGAAGAGCAAAATACAACAGAAAAAAAAATTGGTGATCAGCAACAAATACAAGATTTCCTCAAAGATAATTTTGCATAGAAGTTCAACTGCATGGGTAAAATGCATAATAAAATGACGTGCAATGACATGCCAGCAGAATACGATATGTCTATTTGTCTTTCTGGAACTTGCTTGGTATTAATCAATTCTAGTGGGTGTACCTAGTTCTTTTATGCATATATCCTTTCTTTCTTGCATATTATTGATTGAGAGAATTTGCAGTAAGACGATATAATTATTTAGGCTGTATTTAACCCTCTTCTGTGACTACAATAGAATGATTCTATTTTCACTTGTAAGAGAAGCAAAAGTAATTTTAGTTTAAAGTAATTTTAATTCAGGAATTTCTTTTTTAATTACTAGTTCTTAAGGAGCATAGCATCTTGCTTAGCAAAGGGTCCCTTTTTTCCTCAGTGTTCTGGTGTAGCTACTCTCCTGCCAGCCCAGGCTTTCATAGAGAGGAGAAAAAAGTCTTTATAAAAGCCTTGGCCTAATTAACAAGAATGAACTAGATTTTATGATGAACAATTTATAGGCAGTTAATAGAGCTCATACACGGTAGCCAGGAGCTAGATAATTTATCATAAAAGGAATCTCAGTTACACTCCTAATCCCTGTTCTTTTAATATTGTAACCAACTGCATTCACAATTGCCACTTGTGTAAGCTTTGATTTACTGACAAATGATGCTGTATTTTATATAGTCATAATGAAATTTATAAGTACTGTAAATACTTGTATTTCTGTCCATATGCTTCAAATTCTTTGCCAATTTACTTCTCTACATTGTTCTCTCTAGATAAAAATGTTTCAGTGATCTCCTAAGGATTCTTCATCCTAGCATAAATAATAATAAAAACAATAACAAATTGTTTATTAAGCATACTAAGTACTTGTTGAAAAGACACTTATTTATCCTTAAAAGAATGATGCAGCTGTTGTAATGTGTTGTGAATGGGGAGCGTCAATACTTCCCCAAATCATAACTAAGATAAAATTGCAAATGTCCAAAAGTAATTTTTTAAATGGCACGATGTAAAATAGGTGAGGCCCAGGAAAATCACATCATCTGTTAGCACTTGGTGTCCTTTTATTGTTTCTATTTTAAAGCTATAGCAAAATACATCACACATCATGTGGGCAGAATTGGGTGACTGCCATCACCTTAATTACATCTCATTTATCCATTGCTTTCCACAAGTAGTTCTTGAAGGCCTCAAATTAGAGAACACTTCCTCCATGAAGGCTTCCCTGACCACTGGTATACCTCCTAGAGGCATTCTTACCACCCTGTTCCTCCTCCTAGCAGAAAAACAAATACAACTGGGTTGTTTGCTTGATTCCTGTTCACATCCCACATTGACCATGTAAGGACCTCCTTACTTCCAGTCTTGAGTCTAGCAGACTGCCTGGGACATAATGTATGTGTGAATGAATGATGTTCTGGTTTTGAAAGGCTGTTTTAATATAAGTGGGAATACATCATCTTAGTTGTAATTATGATCCAGCAATAAAGTTGATTACTGAAATTGACAGTGAATTAGTGTATATTTTAAAAAGTAGAACATTCAAAAGTCATTACTCTGTTCCCTTCCTATGCCCAACATTATAAATACTTTTAAACATTATGTTATATTTTGATCTTCCACATTTGAAAGGGACACGTTGCAATAAAAGAATGACTAGAATAAAAATCCAGAAGTCAGAGAAATATGATTGTTTAACCTGCAACAGATGTGCTAAATATTACATTAATCATGCTCTCTTGGGACACAAAGAAAGTTCTCCCCATTCCTCAAAAGTACAGAGCCATGGCCCGTTGCAAAGTTGTTTAGGCCCCAGAAGTAACAGCTTTCTGACCTGACGGGCTACAAGATATGAGATTATGTGTCTACCGGTCCACTCAAGAGATCACTTTTCAAGTGATTAGAGATTTAGTTCTGCCTGCCAGGCAACCACTTTTTATATGGCCAATCAAATTACAGGTATGTGGTCAATTTTATTTTATCATCAACTGTTTTTGAATATCAAATATACTTGTCTTTCATCCAGGGCTTCTCATTTCCTATCTGGGGTTATGGAAATTGATTCTATTATTTTTTTATAGAAATATATTTTTCTAGTAAAAGGGAAAATGAGACCTTTCCCTTCCAGATTTCACCCATCACCAGAGAGAAGCTAAGGCTCAAAACAGCTGTCTCAGAAGGCAGGTCCATGGCTGCTGAATCATTCTCAAGAAGACAGCATCCCCAGCACACTCAGAATGGCTAGCAGAACGTGGTAGAAAATCTGCTAGTTTGCTGACACCTTTTCCATTTTATTTCTTGTCACTGAGGTGCAGAGACCCAGCACAGAACATGCTCCCAGCAATGTCTACTGAGAATGTCAGCCCAGCAGGGCTGTGCTACCCCATGACACCTCTGAGAATATGGAACCAACAACTCTGCTGCTCTGAATCAAAATAAAGCCTAAAAATGCTATCTTTTATGATTCTTAATGTCAACTAAAAATAACAGAGGTGGTTAGTTAAGACCTAAGGTTCACCTTGGATTTTTTTCCTAATTGTGCATATCCTAAAAAGTGTCTTTTTTCCAAATGGAATTGGTCATTGACATGTGGATGTGCTCCTAATAGCAAAATAAAAATATTTCCTGCCTGAAGCATTATAATAAAGATGTCTTTTTCCATTTCATTGTCTCGGAACATTTAATCAATTGATATGACATCTAGGGCAGGTCAAAGGGAGCCACCTCTATTAATTTATAATTGCAATAGTCATTAACTTGTTGATGGCATACTGTTACTACTTTAACTTATTTTTAACAGTTTTAGTTTTAATTTTATTAATGTTTTTAAACTGTAAACTCCCTTGGGATTCAAGGATAGAAGCCTACACACATTTTAATCCTCTGTTCCCATTTTGAAAAAATCCAGCTCCAAGGAAATTTCTGAAGTGAACAAATTTTGCCTACAAAAGCCTGGGCTCCCATTTAGGAGGGTTTTCTATTGCCAACCTGATTTCAAGCACCTGAGATCATTTTCCTACCAAACTCTTATCTAAGTTTTATGTTAAATGAAATATTTAAATTATATTTAATTTTTCTAAGACAGAACTCAGCACATAGTACAAGTCGAAAATTTATTAGCTCCCTTATTTTTTCAGCTCAGGAAAAGATCTATTATCAGTTATTTCAATCCATGAGAATATCAATCAATAATTTTCTTCTACCTGAAGTATTATCTCTTCTGTATTTATAAATTAAAAGCTATCTCCCTATTAAAGACATTATAAGTTTCTGTATGTGTGTTTGGATGGGGAGTGGAGAGGAAGAAGTAGAGGAAATACACATACTGTCTAGGGTGCTGAAATGGCACAAAGCAAGCAGTTATTAGCTCCATATACACATAAAACTAACATTGCCTCTTTGTCTCTCCCCTCTTACTCCTGGGCAGAGGCAGGCTTCCCTGACTATATCTTCCTGAGTTTACAACACGATTCTGATGTCCCTATCTCAATTCTGGCAGCAGCCAGCTAAGCCCTGACAAGACAAGGCTTGTCCCAGGCAGACAATGGGAAGTAGATAACTGTTAAAAATGCTTAATTCCAAACATGGAAATGAATTAGCTAAACTGCTTTGGCAGTGATTTTCCTCAGTAACGAATAGCATGAGGAAAGGCATTCCTTAGCACAATGGTGTGTACATGACAAATGGTTGGGTTCATCCACTTAACATGTTTTGCATAAATTGTGATTAACAGTCTAGATTTTTTTCTGAAATTGTCTCCATCTTATTGTGAATTTTAGGTCTTAAACAATGGTTGTATTTCAAATATTTAAGAACATACCAGACAGGCGTCCTCCACCCAACTACCAAAAATATTATACATACTAGCTAACTTGGGGAATCTGCATCCCACGTTTCTTTCTCCAGCAAGTTTATAAAATGTGCATATATGCATTCACATGCAAATTCCTTGCTGAACATAAGTATACTCACAAAGCCATAGTCACTCTCTTCTTTGTGCAAGCAGAAAGTCTGTTAGAACAAGGACTAAATTGCATGTACAGTTCAGAGCATCTTTGAATGGCACACCCTCTCTACAGAAAGTGGGCCACTCATCTAGACATCCTAGTATTTTGACACAAGCCCTGTCAGATAGAAGATTCCACGCTACCAGATACACTTCTTTTGAAAATGTCATCCAGGGTAGAAATTGATTTTCTGCCTCAAATGCAGCTGCTGCTCCAAGAAACCTATCCTATTAAAAGTGTCCCTGTTCCGCCTCCATCTAGACATAGACCACATGATGGGATTGACATATTTGTAGGAATGCTTAATTCTCACTGTGTCATTCATGTATTCAACAATCATACACAAATCACTGTTCTAGATGCTAGGGATATAGGAGTTAACAAGATGATAAAGATCCCTGTTCTCACACTTTCTAATGTGAGAAAGCAGATTAATAAATAAATAATAAACATGTTGATTTCAGATACTGTGTTATGAAAAAAATAAGATAAAATAAGGATGGAGAAAGACTATTTTGGATTGGATAGCCAAGAAAAACCTCTCCCAAGGTTGTGATATTTGAGTAAATCATACATAATCACAGGTATTGAAAAACTTGGTAGAAAGGCACAGGAGTTGGAGACAAGATGCAGGTTTTTTAATGGTCATTAGGCAAGTTCCTGCAAGCCTTCTACCTTTTAGTGTAGAATTGGTAGTCCATTGGAATAGTTCTCATTCTCCCTAGAAAGCTTCATAATGCTTCAACTTGATAACATTTTCTATTACGTTATTTATAACATGACTAAAGCCCATCCACCTTTCTACATATGAAGATTGTAAATCAATGATTCTTAACCCCATATGCACGTTAGATTCACCTAGAGGCCTTTCAAAAAAATATCCATGGCTCTGCCCAACTCATATCAATGCAATCTGACCCTGAGAAGAGAGCTTGGACACTGGCATTTCTAACAGAACCCCAGGTTATTTGAATCCTAACCCTGTTGGCACCACTCTACAAGCTGAAGTAAATAATGTGAGAAAAAGTATTAGAAAAGACTTAGGTGCAATCTGCAGGCAGCTAAAAAAAGAATGAGGGAAATGGGGATTTCTTTCAGGAGTGGTGAATCTATTGTCTCTCAATTCTCCACTACCTTATGTAAAACTACCTGATACAGGTGAAAACAATTTGAAGCAATTCAACGTTTTCATAACAGATTTATCCCAGGTGATTGAGCACAAGATATCTGTGTCACCGGCTTAAAAAAATGTGATAATATCATCAAGCCAGAATTGGTTTATAGGTGATGTACATGTTTGTGGTGTTACCACTGTTTTTTTTTTTTTAAGTGATGCAGTAGAAATCACACCCTCTTGAGGTTAAATACTTACTGTCCCACACTCTTCAAAGGATTGTAAATCTCACACCTACACCTACACATTAAATTAGCCCAAACCAGATGGAGGTTAGCATTTTAGGTTAGAATGACTGTCTTGCACAAGTATGTCCTTGAACTGCCAATAACAATAGCTTTTACCTTTAGGCCTATTAGTGTGTTGCTTGACTTCTGACATTGAAGTGCATTTAAGCCATTCAGTCTTTCATACCGTGACCACAGAGAGTGGCTCAAAAACAGTTTTGTTGTTGTTGTTGTTGCTTTTCTTTTTTGATTGGTCATTAGGAAGAACCAAGAGTAAATTCAAAGATGAGTTAGAAGCATTTTAGTAAACAAAAACATTCACAGGCCAGCACCTTTTTTCACAGTGCTTTCTATCACTCTCACCAAATGCCCACTTCTTTCCACTCATCCTAATTCTACCCAACCTTCAAGGTCCGATTTTATCCTCATCTCCTGTTTCCCTTTACCAACCTTCTAGAATGTATAATTTTGGGACCCTATTGACTCCACTCCCCCTTCAGTTGAATTTGTGTTTGATTTAACTGAAGTTTACGTTCCTGCAAGATAAAAAGCATATCTTACACTGCTATCTTTCAATAGCTTCTCTGAAATTAGACTAAAATCAGGCACACAACGGAGACTTAAAAGATAGGCAATAAATAGAAATGATTTTGAAGGAGTCTTCTTGCCTAAGGCTATAGGATTCGAGCTTGACCTAAATCATGTTTTCAGAAAAAAAAGTAGTAGAATAAATTCAGTAAACATGTTCCTGGCTAGACACCGGTAGCTTTGGAGACAGGAGGAAAGGTCTCAGAATCTGAAGGCAGGAGTAGATTGGAAAAACGAAGCAGAGAAAGACAAATATTGCATGATCTCATGTGTATGTAAGATCCAAAAAAGCCAAACTAATAGAGGCAGACACTAGAATGGTGTTTGCCAGGGTTGGAGGGTGGGGGAAATAGGGAGAGGTACATCAAAGGGTACAAAGTTTCAGTTATGGAGGATGAATGAATTCTGGAGAGCTAATGTACAGCAAGGGGATTATAGCTAATAATACTAATATTAAATACTTGAAATTTACTAAAAGAGTAGATCTTAAATGTTCTAACCACGTACACACAAAGTGGGGTGTGAATATTAGGCAGTGAATAAGTTAATTAGCTTGATTGTGGTAATCATTTCACAATGTATACACACATCCAAACATCACATTGTACATTGTAAATATGTACAATTTTTGTTAATTATACCACAATAAAGCCAGGGGTGGTGGGGGAAGAAAGTTTAGTTACTTCTTTGTAAAATGGGTTTGTGGAATTGCAAAAGAAATAGACATAATATGTGTAAAGCATCTATACAGCAAACTGGCAAACACTAAATGGGTTTGTGGAATTGCAAAAGAAATAGACATAATATGTGTAAAGCATCTATACAGCAAACTGGCAAACACTAAATGATAAAAGAGTAAATAATAACTATTATTATAATGATCCAATATTGTTATTAAAAGAGGATTTTTCACATATCTTTGTCTGGAAATCCAGGATGAGATGAGATACTAAAATGTATATGAGCAAAAGAAAATCTATGAGAAAGATTGAGTCATGCTGAACACTTGGATCCAAGTGAAATTTAGATTTGTGTAGGAAGAGAACTTCTTTTGAGCTTCTCTCTTATTATCCCCAAAATGCATCTTTTTTCTTTCCTTTTGCTTGATATTACCAAGTATTAAAGCCTACGTGTTCTAGAAACCACAACAGTGGAAAACAGTTCAGGACTTGAAATCAAAATGTGTGGGTCTGGTCTCATTGGAAGAAATTGAGCAAACATCTTAATCTCTGCAACCTTAATTCTGATGGGTTATAAAATGAGCATACTTACTCCACGATGCTCTTAAGAGCTAATATGGTATGTAATACTTGCTGATACCTTGTGGTTGAGAACAACCAAGAAATTCAGCAATCAAATAAAAAGTCAATGGATACATTGAGTTGGTAGTTATTATTTACTATAAGCAAAGAACCATGAAACACACAAAAGAAACCAGAGCCCCCTTGATACCTCAAGCAAGACAAAGACACTGCAAAACAAAGAAAACTACAGGCCAATGTCTCTGATGAATATCAATGCAAAAATCCTCAATAAAATGTTAGCAAATTGAATTGAACAGCAAAGTAAAAATATTACACATCATGACTAAGTGAGATTTATCCCTGCCATACAAGGCTGGTTTAACATATGCAAATCAATCAGTGTGATACACCACATTAAAAGAATGAAAGATTAAATACCACATGATCATCTCAATTGATGCGGTAAAAGCATTTGACTAAGTTCAGCATTCTTCCTTACAAAAAACTCTTAACAATTTAGGTATAGAAGGAAACTTCCTCAACAGAATAAAAATTTTTTTTTTTTTTTTTTGAGACGGACTCTCGCTCTGTCGCCCAGGCCGGACTGCGGACTGCAGTGGTGCAATCTCGGCTCACTGCAAGCTCCGCTTCCCGGGTTCACGCCATTCTCCTGCCTCAGCCTCCCGAGTAGCTGGGACTACAGGCGCCCGCCACCGCGCCCGGCTAATTTTTTGTATTTTTAGTAGAGACGGGGTTTCACCTTGTTAGCCAGGATGGTCTCGATCTCCTGACCTCATGATCCACCCGCCTCGGCCTCCCAAAGTGCTGGGATTACAGGCGTGAGCCACCGCGCCCGGCCCAGAATAAAATTTTTAAAAACACAAATAATAAAAGCCATTTATTAAAAAACTCAGTGCTAACATCATAATCATTGAGGAACAATTGAAAACTTTTTCACTAAGATGTGGTACAAGGTATGGTTGCCCATTCTCACCATTTCTATTCAACATAGTACTAGAAGTACTCACAAGAACAATCACAAAAGAAAACAAATGAAAAGGCATCCAAAACATAAAGGAAGAATTGAAATTATCTCTACTTGAAAATGGCATGTAGAAAATCCCAAAGATTTCAGAAAACTGTTAGAACTAATAAATTCAGTAAAGTTACAACAAAATCAGCATATAAAAATCAGTAGGATTTCTACACACAAATAATGACCTAGCTGAAAAATAAATTAAGGAAACAATCAAATTTACAATAACATTTTTAAAACCTAGAAATAAATTTAACAAAAGAGGTGAAAGATTTGTACTCTGAAAACTATAAAATACAGATAAAAAACTGAAGACACAAATAAATGGAAAGATATCTTATGTTCATGGACAGGAAGAACTAATATTGTTAAAATGTCCATACCATCCAAAGCAACATACAGATTTAACTCAATCTCTATCAAAATTACAATAGCATTCTTTACAGAAATAGAAAAAATAATCCTAAAATTCAAATGGAACTGCAATACCTTCTGAATAGCAAAGCAATACTGAGAAACAAAAACAAAGTTGAAGTCATCACAATTCTGATTTAAAATTATAAAGCTACTGGCTAGGCCCAGTGGCTCACGCCTATAATCCCAGCACTTTGGGAAGCCGAGGCAGGAGGATCACCTGAGGTCAGGAGTTCGAGACCAGCCGAGCTAACATAACGAAACCTTGTCTCTACTAAAAATACAAAAAATTTAGCCCGGCATGGTGGTACGTGCCTGTAATCCCAGCTACTTGGGAGGGTGAGGCACGAGAATCGCCTGAACCCGGGAAGTAGAGGTCGCAGTGAACCAAGATGGTGCCAATACATTCCAGCCTGGGCAACAGTGTGAGACTCCATCTCAAAAAATAAAATAAAATAATATTATATTTTATGGCTATAATAATCAAAACAGCATAGTACTGGCATGAAAACAGAAACATAGACCAATGGAACAGAATAGAGAACCCAGAAATAAATCCAAACATATAAGGTCAACAAATGTTCAACAAGGCCACCAAGAGGATACAATGGGGAACAGATAGTTTCTTCAATAAGTGGTCCTGATAAAACTGGATTTCCACATGCAAAAGAATGAAATTGGGCTTTATCTTATACCATGCACAAAAATCAACTCGAATGGATAAAATACCTAAATGTAAAACCTGAAGCCATAAATCTTTTAGAAGAGAACATAGGGGAAAAGCTGCTTGACATTGGCCTTGGCAATGGTTTCTTGAATATCACACCAAAAACACAGGCTACAAAACCAAAAATAAATAAATGTGATTATATAAAACTAGCAAGCTCTGTACAGCAAAGGAGAGGCCAGCAACATTAAAAGGCAACCCACAGACTAGAAAAAAACAATGGCAAACCACATATCAGATAAGAAGTTAATATCCAAAATTTGTGAGCAACTCCACAACTCAATTCCAGAAAACAAATAACCCAATTTAAAAATGAGCAAAGGGCCTGAACAGATATTTCTCCAAATAAGACATAAAAATGGGCAACAGATTTATGAAAAGGTGTTTGGCATCACTAATCATACGAGAAGTGAAAATTAAAACCACTATGAGATATCACCACACACCCCACCCGTAAGGATGACTAGTAACAAAAAGACAAGAGATAAGACATGCTGATAAAGATGTGGAGAAAAAGAAACCCTAGTACACTGTTGGTGGGGATGTACATTGGTACAGTCATGGAAAATACTATGAAGGTTCCTAAAGAAATTAAAAATAGAACTTCCAGGCTGGGTGTGGTGGCTCAGAATTGTAATCCCAACACTTTGGGAGGCCAAGGCAGGAGGATTGCTTGAGCCCAGGTGTTCAAGGCCATCCTGGGCAACATAACGAGACCTTGCCTCTACTGAAACTTTTTTTTTTCCTAAAAAAAAGCCATGTGTGGTGGTACACTCCTGTAGTCCCAGATACCTAAGAAGTCTGAGGCAGAAAAATCGCTTGAGGCCAGGGGATTAAGGCTGCGGTGAGCTGTGATCACATCACTGCACTCTAGCCTGGGTGAAAGAGTGAGACACGGTCTAAAAAAAAAGAAAAAAAAAAAGAACTTACAGATGATCCACCAATCCCTCTTCTGGGTATACAACCAAAGGATATGAAATCACCACCTCATAAAAATACGTGCACTTCCATATTCATTGCAGCCAAGACATGAAAATAACCTAAATGCCTAAATGCTGATCAATGAATGAATGGATAAAGATGTTACATATAGATGTAGATATAGATATCACATACACACACACACACACACACACACACACAATGGAATATTACTTGGTCTTACAAAAGAAGGAGATCCTGACATTTGCCACAACATGGATGAAACCAGAAGACATTTTGCTAAGTAAAATAAGCCAGGCACACACACACACAAATTTGCATGGACTCACTTATATGTGGAATATATTTTAGGAAGAGCTCAAATACAGTGATTGAGAATGAAACAGTGGTTACCACCATGGAGGTGGACAGGGATAGGAAATGGGGAGACGCAGGTCAAAGGACATAAAGTAGCAGTTACACAGGACGAACAAGTTCAGAGATCGAATTTACGACATGACAACTAAAATTAATAAAAATGTATTAGGGATTTTTGTTAAATAAGTAGATTTTGGCTACTCTTTTCACAAGAAGCGTAACTATGTGGGAATGACAGATATGTTAATCTGCTTGCTTCTTCACTGTAATGATCATTTTACTATCTATATGATATGTAATTTTTTTTTTTTTTAGATGGAGTCTTGCTCTGTCACCCAGGCTGGAGTTCCAGTGGCACGATCTCGGCTCACTGCAGCCTCCACCTTCCAGGTTCCAGCGATTCTCCTGCCTCAGCCTCCCAGGTAGCTGGGATTACAGGCACACACAATCATGCTCGGCTAATTTTTTTATTTTTAGTAGAGACAGGGTTTCACCATGTTGGCCAGGCTGGTCTTGAACTCCTGACCTCAGGTAATCCACCCCCCTCAGCCTCCCAAAGTGTTCGGATTACAGGTGTGAGCCACTGCACCCAGCCATATGTATCTTATAATAGCATGTTGTAAACCTCAAATATACACATAAAATTTATTTTAAAAAAAAGAAAGAAAGAAGCTGGAGCCAGAGAACTCAATCTAAGAGAGCTGGTTGCTAAATGGGACTACAGTACACTTAAATAAAACATAAAACTAAATTAACGTAGCACCAACCTTGAAAGCACATTCCATGTAGAGTGATAACACCCAGACCTTAATCATTAACCTCCCAGGCCTGTCATTTAAGGCCTATCAAGGCCACCTTGATAGAACTCTAACCCACTTCTGGGAGCCTAATTTCCCAGGTCTTCCGTGGAAATTGTTTCAGCCAAGTTGGAGTACGTGCTATTCCCTAGCATGAACTAAACTTTCCCTCTGTCCATTTGCTCATGTGCCTTCTTGCACTTCTAACTACCCAGACATCCATAATCTTTCCTCTGCTTAAAACTCCTCCCATTCATTACCACACATCTTAAATGTCACCTTTTCCAAGAAGTTTATCCTAACTCTTCGAACTAAGTGTTAATTTTTCACCTTTGAACTCCCGCTTGATTTTGATAGTTCCCTTCTAGGGAAGATTGCATATTCTACTTACACACTTTCTTTTTGCTGCTGTGAGAATTGACGGCGTGCGCCCTCACTCGCTCTCAGCGCCTCCTCAGCCTTGGCGCCCACTCTGGCGGCGCTTGAAGAGCCCTTCAGCCCACCGGTGCACTGTGGGAGCCCCTTTCTGGGCTGGCCAAGGCCGGAGCCAGCTCCTTCAGCTTGCATGGAGGTGAGGGAGAGGCGCGAGCGGGAACCGGGACTGCGCGCCGCGCTTGCGGGACAGCTGGAGTTCCGGATGGGCGTGGGCTTGGCGGGCGGCACTCAGAGCGGCCGGCCGGCCCTGCAGGCCCCGGGCAATGAGGGGCTTAGCACCCAGACCAGCGGCTGCGGAGGGTGTGCTGGGTCCCCCAGCAGTGCCGGCACCAGCGCTGCACTCGATTTCTCGCCGCGCCTTAGCCGCCTCCCCGCGGGGCAGGGCTGGGACCTGCAGCCCGCCATGCCTGAGCCTCCCCCTCCTCCGTGGGCTCCTGTGCAGCCGGAACCTCCCCGACGAGCGCCGCCCCCGCTCCACGGCGCCCAGTCCCATCGACCACCCAAGGGCTGAGGAGTGCGGGCGCAAGGCGCGGGACTGGCAGGCAGCTCCACCTGCGACCCCGGTGCGGGATCCACTGGGTGAAGCCAGCTGGGCGCCTGAGTCTGGTGGGGACTTGGAGAACCTTTATGTCTAGCTAAGGGATTGTAAATACACCAATCGGCACTGTGTATCTAGCTCAAGGTTTGTAACCACACCAATCAGCACCCTGTGTCTAGCTCAGGGTTTGTGAATGCACCAGTGGACACTCTGTATCCAGCTACTCTGGTGGGGACTTGGAGAACCTTTGTGTCTACACTCTGTATCTAGCTAATCTAGTGGGGAGGTGGAGAACCTTTGTGTCTAGCTCAGGGATTGTAAACGCACCAATCAGCGCTCTGTCAAAACAGACCATCCATCCTCTGCAAAATGGACCAATCAGCAGGATGTGGGTGGGGCCAGATAAGAGAATAAAAGCAGGCTGCCAGAGCCAGCACTGGCAACCAGCTCGGGTCTGCTTCCACACTGTGGAAGCTTTGTTCTTTTGCTCTTTGCAATAAATCTTGCTGCTGCTCACTCTTTGGGTCCACGCTGCCTTTGTGAGCTGTAACACTCACTCTGAAGGTCTGCAGCTTCACTCCTGAAGCCAGCGAGACCATGAACTCACCAGGAGGAACGAACAACTCCAGACGCACTACCTCAAGAGCTGTAACACTCACCGTGAAGGTTTGCAGCTTCACTCCTGAGCCAGCGAGAACATGAACCCACCAGAAGGAAGAAACTCCGAACACATCCGAACATCAGAAGGAACAAACTCCGGACATGCCGCCTTTAAGAACGGTAACACTCACCGCGAGGGTCCGTGGCTTCATTCTTGAAGTCAGTGAGACCAAGAACCCACCAATTCCGGACACACTGGTTTCTAAAGTAGAACACCTCCTTCACCTTGTACCATCCCCAACAGTAGACATTAACTTTTTTTTTTTTCTTTTTTCAAACCTCTCAGGGATGATATTACTAACATTTTAAAAATTGATTCACCAATAAGATCTCATTAAGATACTTATAAATCATGCAATCTTAATCTTGATTTGAACAAAACAGCTCTCTTGTGACCTTAGAAGAGGCTTATGATATGCTGTGTACTGTATAAGCCTATGGCATGCATGGAAGTAAACAGCCAATTGCAGTAGCAGGTTACTGGGTTTTGATAAGAAGTACAGAATAGGACCGGGGATGAGTGGGTGGATAAATAATCATTTCTTATTCTCCAAAGGACTTTGAATGACTGTGAGAATTTTCCGAGTAGGCGATCCATGAATCAGAAAGCTGGCTTTAATGTCATCTTTCTCACTCCAAAAAGAGTAAGAGCAGAATAATTCAAGCTCAGCCAGGGAAGATAGGAAATGAGGGTGGAGGAAGTCCCTCTCCTCTCTGCATACTGAACTTGTAGTCTTCTATCAGAGGAAAATATTGGGCAGATTGACAAATATTTTTAGCCCCCTAGTCAAACTTCATTACAAGCAATTATTATCACAATTATACCTTTTTCTCCCACTTTATTGTTTAACTGACTCAGAACAATTGCATCTTAGAAATAATAGTATTGAAATATGTCAAACATCTTACTTCCAACAGCAATAAACTTAAGGCTAGAACATAATGTTTTTTACACATTCTTTTTCCATTTCTCCTTTGGATTATAGATTATGAAAGAGAAATTTCATGCAGCAGTTGGCGACAAAATATATTTCTTATTAATGTGTAATATTTGTTACATTAATAATTTTATGGCTTTAATAATTAATGCGAACTTAATTGTGTACCATGTCCCTTTTTCTTGCAGCTCAATAAAAACTATATATTTCTTTAATTAGGCTTTATTTGAAGACTGGAAATGCAGGAGTGGTTTTTTGCTCATTCACCTCTATACAGCTAGGAAATAAATGGAATTAGTGTCTTCAGTGTGGTTTAGCAAGCAAAAATATTTAAGTGTTCTGAAATGTGACTTTCCTTTGCACAGTTAACCTCACCCCGAGGCCAGGGATACACAGCCAATTGAAACTGAACACTGCAGCAGGGGATGGTTTTCTCTCCTCCCTGGCTCTGGGGAGAAATTTCATCGATTTCAGTAGAGATAGAAAGGGAAAACTGGGGTCACCTACATGGTTATCATACTATCTTCCCTCTTTATATTTTCAGCTTTATTAGAAATGTAATCTAGGTCTTTCCTGCTTGATTTCAACATTTTGTTGTGATGCTTGCTCCACTTAAGAGTCCATGGGAATGTAATAACCACTTTATTCCATGTCAAAATGTTTCAAAACAACTACAAGAAAGGATATATAGAAGGAAATTAACATATGCTAAGTATCTGGCCCAGGTTATACTAGGTGCTTTCAATCAATTATTTATTTAATCTCCCCGGGGTCACAATCACAAATGCCAACAAGCTCATAAATGAAGAAAGCATAGTGGGCTTCAGGAACAAGGAGCCCTCTGCGCTCCATCTTTCATTTTCCACTTTTGATAGGGAAACAAGCACAGAAAAAATGTTTTTCCACTTTAAGGATAACAAGAGAGCAAGTGCAATGATGAATTGCAATTGATACTGAGTCTCGGTATCAGGCAGGGCACTGGGAGCCGTGGACTGTGGTAAGGTGGAAGAGATTTTCAACTCCAGCCCTTTGGTGCCATGTGAGAACATGAGCTTGATGTCAATAGATCACCCAAATTTGTAAGCAGAGATGAAAAATACGGTTTTTGCATGAAACTTTCTGGTTTTTAAATGTTGTCTTAAATTTCCTTAAAACACAGTGCAAAGCATATCTACAGATGGACTATGGCCCACAGGCCATCAGTTTGATCTCTCTGCCACAGGGCTCCTCAGCACATGTGAAATAAGTGGCAGATCAACTATCCCTCAGCTTTTGTTAGGCCTATTACAGTCATCACCATGGATTTATCCTTAGAAGGCAAAAGGTCTTGGATATTATTTTCTCGGGAAAAAAAAAATTCTTGGGCAAGGCTTGTGTTTTAATTATTTTAAAAATCATCAGCCAGGAGCAGTGGCTCATGCCTGTAATCCCAGCACTTTGGGAGGCTGAGGCGGGTGGATCACTTGAGGCTAGGGGTTCAAGACCAGCCTGGCCAACATAGTGCAACCCCACGTCTACTAAAAATACAAAAAAATTAGCCGGGCATGGTGGCAGGCACCTGTAATCCCAGCTACTCGGGAGGCTGAAGCAGGAGAATCGCTTGAACCCAGGGGGTGGAGGTTGCAGTGAGC
The DNA here is from genome assembly GCF_000001405.40 of Homo sapiens. Lineage (NCBI taxonomy): Eukaryota > Metazoa > Chordata > Mammalia > Primates > Hominidae > Homo > Homo sapiens. The sequence goes on along the minus strand of NC_000005.10, from coordinate 89,000,373 downwards.
AAAGATTGCACCACTGTACTCCAGTCTGGATAACAAGAGCAAAACTCTATCTCAAAAATAATAATAATAAAAATAAAGAAAGAAAAAATAATCTATATTCATTAAAGATATTTCTAAAATAATAAAAATGTTGAACAAAAAGTAAAATAAAAATACCATAGTCCCATCAATCCAAACAGAATTACACATTTCCATCCAGGATTTGAACCACACTTGTATTTGATAATTTTTAAATCAGTGTAGTCATATTATATATACATTCTGTATAGTTCTTTTTCCCTTAACTTGTTATACTAAAAATTACTACATATGATTTACTATCTCATTTAACATATTTTTAATGGTTGCATAATATGCCATTGAGGGCTTTTATACTAAAAGTTTGCTAAATCAACCTTATTTAGGTTTTCATTTCCAAGGGTGGGGGAAATCTAAATATTGCATAAAATATTGCAGAGAACACTTTCTTGCATAACAATTTTCACATAATTAAATTTTTAGTATATATTCAAAAAATGTAATATGCTAACAATTGCACACATTCCTAGGGCTATTAACTTAAGATGTCAAATTCTTTCTTGCAAAAAACATGTTACCAATTTATAGTGTAGCACTTCACTTTATAGATGTTCCTTCATCTTTATCAACCTATAAAGTCTTAAAAATTAAATAAATTTTAGTAATGGATTTCCCATCATAGGCATGGACAAAGTCAAATCTCTTTTACCCCAATGGTAACTGTAAACAATTATCATAATACCCACTCAATTGTTTCTTACCTTGAATAAACTTTTTTCTCAGTAATTTAATTTAATGGAAGATTCATGTCACCCAATCTTAATCTATGACACAGATATGGATAAGAAGGTGGATTAAGAGTTATAGGCCAGGTGTGGTGGTTCATGCCTTGTAATCTCAACACGTTGGGAGGCCGAGGCGGGTGGATCACCCCCTCACATGTTGGGAGGCCAACGCGGGTGGAGTTTGAGACCAGTCTAGACAACATGGCAAAACCCCGTCTCTACAGAAATTAGCTGGGTGTGGGGCACGTGCCTATATTCCCAGCTACTTGAGAGGCTGAGGTCGGAGGGTCACCTGAGCCTGTGGGGGTTAAGGTTGCAGTGAGCCATGATTGCACCACTGCACTCCAGCCTGGGTGACAGAGTGAGACCCTTCTCAAAAATAAATAATAAATAAAGAGTTATAGATAAGAGTTTGCAATACAAAAAGACATAGCACATATTGAGAAAGACAAAATATATTATTATATATACATAAACTTGATGAGAAGGAGAAAGACATGAAAAGAGAGAAATTGATTTGCATTCTAGATTACTGCTAGCTGAAGCCTCTAGAGTCCGGTGCCATTCATACTCCTGTCTTTAACCTTACAACTGTACTGTCCACATAAAAGCTTCATTCTCACCTATGTTCATTTTCCTATTGCTATGTAAAAGATTACCAGAAACTTCATAGCCTAAAACAATACAAGACTTATCATCTCAAAGTGTTCTTGCTTGAAAGTCTGGACACGAATTAGCTGGGTCCTCTGCTCAGAATGTCACTAGGCTGACCTCAAGGTACTGGCAGGAGCTACAGTCACACCTTCAACACCAGGGTCCTCTTCCGAGCTCACTAGTTGCTTACAGTTTAAATGATCAATAACCCTATTCTCTTGCTAGCTATTCGCTAGGGACTACACTCAGCTGCTAGAACCCGCCTTCAGGTCTTTGTCCTGCAACCTCTTGCATAGACCCTCTCACCACACAGAAACTTACTTCTTCCAGGACAGCAACCTACTTCTTCCAGGACAGCAGGAGAATTTCTCTAGTGCTTCCAATCTTTCTGATCTCTATTAAGGGCTCACCTGACTAGTCAGTTTCACCCAGATTTATCTCTCTCTGATTAAGTCAAAGTGAAATGATTAGGGACCTTAACTACATCTGCGAAATCCCTTCTGCCATATAATATAACAAAATCACCAGAGTGATATTTCATCATATTCACTTGTCCTGCTCATACTCAAGAAGGGGTTATGCACTGGAAGGAGGGAATCTTAGGGGCACCTTAGAATTCCGTCTACCAGAGCACCTTTTCTCAGGCTTCCCACAGAAGTGTTGCACTCTTGTTAAAAAAAAAAAAAAAAAAAAAAAAAAGTGAGTTGCTGAATAGCCGTGAGTACTTTCTTAATTCCTTTCATTTGCCACAACTGCTTTGACCTGTTAGCACTGTCTTATCACATTATCTGATGGGTCCAGTGCCATCTACATTCAGTGCCTGTCACTATTTTTAAAACTTCAGTGTTGGAGCCTTTTTCCTGCCACTTAAGTATAATAAATAGTTGTCACAAATGAAATTTGCACAAAAGCTGACTGTGTGATGTCAATAATAGGTATGGTTTTTGTAACAGTATTGTAGATTGATTCCTGAAATCTTAAATTTATCATTAGTGCACTCTATTCAGAGGGACTTAACTCTCTTGATATACATAGAAAATTTAAACTTCAAAGCATTTTAGAAAATGACAGGCATCTGAAAGTCCCATTTTTATTCCGATGAAAATACTTTTTACCAAGAAGTTAAAATTTCCCACAAAATGTAAAGTGACAAAAAAAAAAAAAAGGTAAAAAGTGCTATTATTCTCAGTAAGACAAATCATAAGCATGTTGACTTAGGAAAATCTTCGAGCATTTACTCCAGCAATTTTAAGGTAAATTCGGTTTCCATAATGAAAGGAAAATGCTTTGAGGAGTTTTCTGGGGTTTCTTTCAACTTGTTTGCTTCTTTGCCTATACAAATACTTTATGCCACTTTAAAGGGCAAACTATAAGAAATATTTATGTTTAGAGAAGAAATTCATCCGTAGAATTCGAATTTAATTTTAAAATCAGGTAAACTATCCTATAAACAAAATCAATGATTACTCTAGGTACTTTTTGAAAATGAAAACAAATCAGTTCTGGTTTTCTCATCTGTTGCTTGAACACTGAAGCACAATTCTTTGCGATTTTAAAGAGAAGTTGTATTATTTTAGATTTTATAAATCATAGTACAATAATTTATGGTTTAGAAAAGAACTATAGAGCTATGTAGCTATTTTCTTTTAAGAGTAGCAGTTGAAACAAACAATCAACTCACTTCATGCATGGAAGAAAATTCTCCAAACTATTCTCCTTAAACAAATCTTCAATCATCAGATAAATGACGTTTGTTTAAAGAGAAGTATTTCATACTTCCCCAATTCTTACTGATGAGTCTCTCATTCACAATTTAAAAATTTCTTGTGTCAACTAAATGTCTATAAATGGATTGACTTATTATAGTACATGGATTTACTGGATCAATTCAACCAAATGCCAATATTTCATTCCATCTGATTTTCAACACAGCATTTGATAAATACTTACAGAAAAATGCTCCTGTAGATAACATTTGCGGATTGATAAAGGTTGATTGATTAAGGGTATAAAAATGTAATCCTAACTTGGAAGTTTAATGTGCTAAGCAATCATTTCTAGACACTTTTTCGTTGTTCCAAGGGTGATTTCTAAAAAACATGTAATAAGTTTATTCTGGTCATTTGATAAAAATAATAATTTCAAAAAACTAGAGAGAAGGTAGAATTAGTAATAGAAAAGAAAGTTAATATTTAAACGTCCTTGCTCATTTTGTTTTATATTTTTTTTTAATTAAAGTGAAGTTAACTTTAGTTTTGTATCTATCACTTTTGCTCCTGTTGGACAAAAACAGTTCTTCATGGTGTAATTTGAGAAGCACTGAGCACCTTCAACTGACCTTGCCTTGTTTCCTGGTAATTAAGACTTCAAGACTTTAGTTTAAAGGCCTTGACAACCACCATTTAAAAGCAGAAGTTATCAGGCAGGGGTAATACATAAAGTCATCATTATATCAGATTAGTTATAAAAGATCAGTTGTGGCTTTCTAATGGGTCCGTAGCAGAATAGGAGTTAGAGAAGTTGTGTTTGAAGTGGGTAAGGAAAAGACAAGTCATCTCCCCAAACACCCTGGACATAATAATCATCCAGTGAATATCTGTTAAAATGAACTAACTTGAACAGACAGCACAAGACTTTAAGGCCAGGACACTGTCAGGGTAGAATGCTTGATAGCTGAATGTCAAAGGAAAGTTTTAGGCCCAGGAGAAAGGAGATGAACAGCTGGCAGAAACGGCAAAAATGGGTAAGGAGGGCACCCTTACCCATGTCTGAATATTTAAACGTAAGTAAGTGTGAGGAAATAGGAGATGTTGAAGAAGTTTCTCATATATCTAAGTAGCTTGTAAGTGTAATTTTCATGTCATTTAAGTACAGCAGAATAACAGGACTTCCTGGCTTTGTATCTTAAATTCAGGGAACAATGTAGCTATGATGGAAAATATAGCTTTTGGTTAGCAATTTGAACAATCAATAGCAAGTATAAGACCAAGTCAAATTGGTACTTTTAAGATTTACAATGTTATTTCCACACTGGCCAGAATTTGAATTCAAATCTGTAATAAGGTCCTTGTGTCAGAATGTATCTTTAATTTCACTTTTTGGTCAGTTAATCCAAGATTATGTAGATTCCAAAGTTTAATTTCATACTTATAACTATTATTATTTAATTTCTCTCAACAATGTAGCAATAAGTTTCTGCCAGTGAATTGGCAAAATCACAATTTTTCTTAATTTGTTGTGGGTTTTCTTTATTGTGGGGGGGATTTTTTGCTTCTCAAAAACTTTTCAACCTGGCTCTGTTTCTAAGAGCTCTGTGTCTTACTTTTTGTGGGAGGGAAGCAGCTTATTTACACGATGCAATAAGATCTGGGGATTTGTAACATGGGAAACTGAGTGATTGTTTTAATATTTCCACCAGCAGTTTTCAGAGGGTATGATAGTGCAACTGCATTTAATCAGAGGAACTTATCAAAGCAGCTCAAGATCCAAATGCAGAGATGCTGCACATGAGGCACTGCTGCCTGTTGGTATCCAGGATATCCCAGAGTTCAATGGGAAGGTCCAGCAGAAGAGCTTCCCAGGAGAATCAGGGAATTCGGGATAATATCACAAGTATGCCTACCCCCTACTTCAGTGATTGATCATATTTCCTTGACTCAAGACATTTATTTTTCACAATTATGAATTCTAAAGTCAGGAAGCAGTTTTTAATCAACGTATACTTTTAATATGTCAATATTTCTTTTTCCCTTTTGAAAACTTATTATTTACTTGTAATTTGATTATTATTTAATCAATGGTGATTCTTAAACAATGAGCAGTCTTTTCAAATTGAGTAAATGAGCAAAATATTTCAATTGAAAATATAAGGCCGAACATAATAAAAGTAAAATCTGTTTTTTTACTGGTCCTTAAAGTGAACCAGTGTCTACCCTGGTATTGTAAAACCTTATCAAAGGAGGAAAACTAGAAAAAAAAACTACATTATGATACAGTAATCTTAGCTATTAGACATATTAGACACTAGATCTATGTTTAAAAGCATGCGGAATGCTTCCCCAGCCTAAATTTAGTGTCCTTGTTGGGAAGAGAATTTACTTGTTATTTATAAGATCACTGTGTGTGTGTGTGTATGTGTGTGTGTGTGTATGTGTTTGGTTTCTAACTAATTCAAACACATTAGAGACCTTAAGTCCATATCTACAATATAACAATTACTCTTTTCATGAAAGATAAATGATTACATGTGGTTAAGACTGGAGATAGCAACAGGATTTTTTTCATTGAAAATTTGTAATTTGACCTGCTTTGACACATTAAGAAGAGCATTCCAATCCAAACTTTTTAAGCTCATGAATCTATTAGATGTTCCTAACTAGGACTGTAATTGGGTTGTTTGGTAATAGAAGAATTCAAAGATTTTCTAGAATATCTGGCTCATTCTACAGACAAGAAAAATTATGTCCAAAGAAGAGAGTCATTTCCTTTGCCCATAGTTGTCTAATCAGTGATAAAACCATGGGTAGATCCCAGTACTTCTGTTTTCTAATGCAGTGCTCTTCAGTAGAGAAGAAAAGACTACCTCCCTCCCAAAACATGATAGAACACTGTGGTTCTTGACTTTGCCAGAACCTACAAATCGAGCCCAGGTCTCAGAGGAGTTTTAAGAAAGGAGAGCTCAATTCTACCTCAATATTTCAAATTGTTCTCTGAACTCCTCTGACCACTGTACATAGATAAAATGTCTATATGGTCTTTGTAACAGATCTGGAAATACTGACATTAAAATATTATACTTTAACTAGTCAAGGATGTTTTAATAACTTAGAATCACATATCATTTTAAGAACTGTAGGAGTCCTATGCATTAACTTTATTTCATTCTTTAAGTTTAGTAGGGGGGAAGATGATGTCTAAGAAAGTAAAATGGCATATCACATGCTGGTCAGTGCAAGGTCAAGACTGGAACACCAATGTTCCAACTCTCAGTCCACTGCTTTTTCAAGACATTGCATAGCTACATCATAAATTATGTCCAAAAAAATGGAAAGATGCAAAGATAACATAAACTAAGACAGCTTTCTTATGAGAGATTTCTCTTTTTTTTCCAGTTTCTGTTGTTGTTGTTGTTGTTGTTGTATTATACTTTAAGTTCTAGGGTACATGTGCACAATGTGCAGGTTTGTTACATATGTATAGATGTGCCATGTTGGTGTGCTGCACCTGTTAACTCATCATTTACATTAGGTATATCTCCTAATGCTATCCCTCCCCTTCCCCCCACCCCATAACAGGCCCCAGTGTGTGATGTTCCCCACCCTGTGTCCAAGTGTTCTCATTGTTCAATTCCCACCCATGGTGAGTGAGAACATACGGTGTTCGATTTTCTGTCCTTGCGGTAGTTTGCTTAGAAGGATGGTTTCCAGCTTCATCCATGTCCCTACAAAGGACATGAACTCATCCTTTTTTATGGTGGCATAGTATTCCATGGTGTATATGTGCCACATTTTCTTAATCCAGTCTATCATTGGTGGACATTTGTGTTGGTTCCAAGTCTTTGCTATTGTGAATAGTGCCACAATAAACATACGTGTGCATGTGTCTTTATAGCAGCATGATTTATGATCCTTTGGGTATACTCCCAGTAATGGGATGGCTTGGTTAAATGATATTTCTAGTTCTAGATCCTTGAGGAATTGCCACACTGTCTTCCACAATGGTTGAACTAGTTTACAGTCCCACAAACAGTGTAAAAGTGTTCTTATTTCTCCACATCCTCTCCAGCACCTGTTGTTTCCTGACTTTTTAATGATTGCCATTCTAAGTGGTGTGAGATGGTATCTCATTGTGCTTTTGATTTGCATTTCTCTGATGGCCAGTGATGATGAGCAGTTTCTCATGTCTGTTGGCTGCATAAATGTCTTCTTTTGAGAAGTGTTTGTTCATATCCTTTGCCCACTTTGTGATGGGGTTGTTTGATTTTTTCTTGTAAATTTGTGTAAGTTCTTTGTAGATTCTGGATATTAGCCCTTTGTCAGATGGGTAGATTGTAAAAATTTTCTCCCATTCTGTAGGTTGCCTGTTAATTCTGATGGTAGTTTCTTTTGCTGTGCAGAAGCTGTTTAGTTTAATTAGATCCCATTTGTCAATTTTGGCTTTTATTGCCATTGCTTTTGGTGTTTTAGTCATGAAGTCCTTGCCCATGCCTATGGTCTGAATGGTATTGTCTAGCAGACCTCCAGCAAACTCCAACAGACCTGCAGCTGAGGGTCCTGACTGTTGGAAGGAAAACTAACAAACAGAAAGGACATCCACACTAAAACCCCATCTGTACGTCACCATCATCAAAACCAAAGGTAGATAAAACCACAAAGATGGGGAGAAACCAGAGCCGAAAAGCTGAAAATTCTAAAAATCAGAGCACCTCTTCTCCTCCAAAGGAATACAGCTCCTCATCAGCAACCGAACAAAGCTGGATGCAAAATGACTTTGACAAGTTGAGAGAAGGCTTCAGAAGATCAGTAATAACAAACTTCTCTGAGCTAAAGGAGGATGTTCGAATCCATTACAAAGAAGCTAAAAACCTTGAAAAAAGATGAGACGAACAGCTAACTAGAATAAACAGTGTAGAGAAGTCCTTAAATGACCTGATGGAGCTGAAAACCATGGCACAAGAACTATGTGATGCATGCACAAGCTTCAGTAGCCGATTTGGTCAAGTGGAAGAAAGGGTTATCAGTGATTGAAGATCAAATGAATGAAATGAAGCGAGAAGAGAAGTTTAGAGAAAAAAGAAATGAACAAAGCCTCCAAGAAATATGGGACTATGTGAAAAGACCAAATCTACGTCTGATTGGTGTACCTGAAAGTGATGGGGAGAATGGAACCAAGTTGGACAACACTCTTCAGGATATTATCCAGGAGAACTTCCCCAACCTAGCAAGGCAGGCCAACATTCAAATTCAGGAAATACAGAGAAGATCACAAAGACACTCCTCCAGAAGAGCAACTCCAAGACACATAATTGTCAGATTTACCAAAGTAGAAATGAAGGAAAAAATGTTAAGGGCAGCCAGAGAGAAAGGTCAGGTTACCCACAAAGGGAAGCCCATCAGACTAACAGCTGATCTCTCAGCAGAAACTCTACAAGCCAGAAGAGAGTGGGGGCCAATATTCAACATTCTTAAAGGAAAGAATTTTCAACCCATAATTTCATATCCAGCCAAACTAAGCTTCATAAGTGAAGGAGAAATAACATCTTTTACAGACAAACAAAGGCTGAGAGACTTTGTCACCACCAGGCCTGCTTTACAAGAGCTCCTGAAGGAAGCACTAAACATGGAAAGGAACAACTGGTACCAGCCACTGCAAAAATATGCCAAATTGTAAAGACCATCGATGCTAGGAAGTAACTGCATCAACTAATGAGCAAAATAACCAACTAACATCATAATGACAGGAGCAAATTCACACATAACAATATTAACCTTAAGTGTAAATGGACTAAATGCTCCAATTGAAAGACACAGACTGGCAAATTGGATAAAGAGTCAAGACTCATCAGTGTGCTGTATTCAGAAGACCTATCTTACATGCCAAGACACAAATAGGCTAAGAATAAAGGGATGGAGGAAGTTCTACCAAGCAAATGGAAAACAAAAAAAAGCAGGTTTTGCAATCCTAGTCTCTCATAAAAAAGACTTTAAACCAACAAAGATCAAAAGAGACAAAGAAGGCCATTACATAATTGTAAAGGGATCAACTCAACAAAAAGAGGTAACTATCCTGAATATATAGCACCCAATACAGGAGCAACCAAATTCATAAAGCAAGTCCTTAGAGACCTACAAAGAGACTTAGACTCCTACACAATAATAATGGGAGACTTTAACACCCCACTGCCAACATTAGACAGATCAACGAGACAGAAAGCTAACAAGGATATCCAGGAATTGAACTCAGCTCTGCACCAAGTGGACCTAATAGACATCTCCAGAACTCTCCACCCCAAATCAATAGAATATACATTCTTCTCAGCACCACATCACACCAATTCCAAAATTGACCACATAGTTGGAAGTAAAATAGCACTCCTGAACAAATGTAAAAGAACAGAAATTATAACAAACTGTCTCTCAGACCTCAGTGCAAACAAACTAGCACTCAGGATTAAGAAACTCACTCAAAACCACTCAACTACATGGAAACTGAACAACCTGCTCCTGAATGACTACTGGGTACATAACAAAATGAAGGCAGAAATAAAGATGTTCTTTGAAACCAATGAGAACAAAGACACAACATACCAGAATCTCTGGGACACATTTAAAGCAGTATGTAGAGGGAAATTTATAGCACTAAATGCCCACAAGAGAAAGCAGGAAAGGTCTAAAATTGATATCCTAACATCACAAATAAAAGAACTAGAGAAGCAAGAGCAAGCACATTCAAAAGCTAGCAGAAGGCAAGAAATAATTAAAATCAGAGAAGAACTGAAGGAGATAGAGACACAAAAAGAACTTAAAAAAATCAATGAATCCAGGAGCGGGATTTTTGAAAAGATCAACAAAATTGATAGACTGCTAGCAAGACTAATAAAGAAGAAAAGAGAGAAGAATCAAAAAGATACAATAAAAAATGATAAAGGGGATATCATCACCAATCCCACAGAAATACAAACTACCATCAGAGAATCCTATAAACACCTCTACGTGAATAAACTAGAAAATCTAGAAGAAATGGATAAATTCCTTGACACATACATCCTCCCAAGACTAAACCAGGAAGAATTTAAATCCCTGAATAGACCAATAACAGGTTCTGAAATTGAGGCAATAATTAATAGCCTACCAACCAAAAAAAGTCCAGGACCAGACAGATTCACAGCCTAATTCTACCAGAGGTACAAAAAGGAGCTGGTACCATTGTTTCTGAAACTATTCCAATCAATAGAAAAAGAGGGAATCCTCCCTAATTCATTTTATGAGGCCAACATCATCCTGATACCAAACCCTGGCAGAGACACAACAAAGAAAAGAGAATTTTAGACCAATATCCCTGATGAATATCAATGCAAAAATCCTCAGTAAAATCCTGGCAAACCAAATCCAGCAGCATATCAAAAAGCTTATCCACCACGATCAAGTTGGCATCATCCCTGGGATGCAAGGCTGGTTCAACATACGCAAATCAATAAACATAATGCATCATATAAACAGAACCAAAGACAAAAACCACATGATTATCTCAATAGATGCAGAAAAGGCCTTTGACAAAATTCAACAGCCTTCATGCTAAAAACTCTCAATAAACTAGGTATTGATGGGATGTATCTCAAAATAATAAGAGCTATTTATGACAAACCCACAGCCAATATCATACTGAATGGGCAAAAACTGGAAGCATTCCCTTTGAAAACCGGCACAAGACAGGGATGTCCTCTCTCACCACTCCTATTCAACATAGTGTTGGAAGTTCTGGCCAGAGCAATCAGGCAAGAGAAGGAAATAAAGGATATTCAATTAGGAAAAGAGGAAGTCAAATTGTCCTATTTGCAGATGACATGATTGTATATTTAGAAAACCCCATCGTCTCATCCCATAATCTCCTTAAGCTGATAAGCAACTTCAGCAAAGTCTTAGGATACAAAATCAATGTGCAAAAATCACAAGCATTCCTATACACCAATAACAGACAAACAGAGAGCCAAATCGTGAGTGAACTCCCATTCACAATTGCTTCAAAGAGAATAAAATACCTAAGAATCCAACTTAGAAGGAATGTGAAGGACCTCTTCAAGGAGAACTACAAACCACTGCTCAACAAAATAAAAGAGGACACAAACAAATGGAAGAACATTCCATGCTCATGGATAGGAAGAATCAATATCGTGAAAATGGCCATACTGTCCAAGGTAATTTATAGATTCAATGCCATCCCCAACAAGCTACCAAAGACTTTCTTAACAGAATTGGAAAAAACTACTTTAAAGTTCATGTGGAACCAAAAAAGAGCCCGCATTGCCAAGACAATCCTAAGCCAAAAGAACAAAGCTGGAGGCATCACACTACCTGACTTCAAACTATACTACAAGGCTGCAGTAACCAAAACAGCATGGTACTGGTACCAAAACAGAGATATAGGCCAATGGTACAGAATACAGCCCTCGGAAATAATACCACACATCTACAACCATCTCATCTTTGACAAACCTGACAAAAACAAGAAATGGAGAAGGGATTCCCTATTTAATAAATGGTGCTGGGGAAACTGGCTAGCCATATGTAGAAAACTGAAATTGGATCCCTTCCTTACACGTTATACAAAAATTAATTCAAGATGGATTAAAGACTTAAATGTTAGACCTAAACCATAAAAACCTCTATGAGAGATTTTTCAAGCAACATGACGACATAGGTGATCCTTGTCTTCAGCGCTGTCTAATTCTCTCTCCTCACCCTGTCAATAGTCCGTGTCCTCCCTCATGGCGTCGCCCTTCTTGCCCTACCAAAACACAGTTGCTCCTTGATTTACAATGAGGTTACACCCTGTAATCCCATGCTAAGTTGAAAATATCCTAAGTTACAAATGCATTTAATACATGTAAGCTAGCTCAGCCTAGCCCACGTTAAACGTGCTCAGAACACTTTCATTATCCTACACTCGGCCAAAATCATCTAAGGCAAAGCCCAGTTTATAACAAAGTGCCAAATAGGTCATGTAAGAGTATTGTAATGCATATTGCTAGCCTGGGAAAAGATCAAAATTCAAAATCCTAAGTATGGTTTCTACTAAATGCACATTGCTTTTGCACCATGGTAAAGTAAAAAACTTCTAAGTTGAACCATCCGAAGTTGGAGACCATCTGTATGCTCTTGGGAAGGCTTTTACGAGCTATCTTGTTTTTATTCTTTATAGCAACTCTATTAGGTAGTCTTTAGTATTATTATAATAAATTTAGAGATGCAAAAGTGAAAAGTGCTGAAGGATTGAGTTACATCACTACAGGTATACAGTTTATAAGTGGTAAGCACAGGTCCAATCCCACAGCTGTCATGATTCAAGCACCTTTCTTTAAAGAGTGCTAATTCAGCATTGTATTTAAATAATTGTAGGTATATAATAAATGTGGTCTGCAGGAACATAAAAAAAGAAAGAATTAGAAGGGAAAGAAGGAGAAAAGTAAGAAAGGAGGGAGAAAGGAAAGGAGGGCGGGGGAGAGGGAAGGGAGAATTCCCTTTAGAAAAAAAAGTTTAAAAGGGTAGAAGATTATATGTAAGCATTATCTACCATATAACCATACAATATACAAGGTAGAGCAAAGATTAAGTAAAAAGGACATTTAGATAACAAATGAATCTGTTTTATCTGCATGTATGTATTCTTTACATTGTCTTTACACTTAACATATTTAATTTAAAGTTAATAAATGTTCGACTTAGGATATTTTCAACTTACCATGGGTTTATGGGATATAACCTCATTGTAAATCAAGATGCATCTGTATTTTTGTAGAGCAAGAAGGGCAAGTCCACGAGGCAGGACACTGACCATTAACAGGGGCGAGGAGAGAGAATTAGACAGCCCTGAGAACAAGTATCACCTAAGACTGTAAGGTAGAAACCAGAAGTTCTTTTTAATTGTTAGCTGTTACACAACGCCTAGAAAACAGGTTACAAAGGAAAAGCACAAAAATTCTTCAATATTTCAGAAAGAACATTATAATAATAATGGGTAGATTAAGAAGCAAATAGTTGAAAACTGGAAATCTCATGTTGTGTTACTGTTTTAAGCTTTTTCTATAAAAGTCAATTATGGCATACCAGTGAAGTTAAAGAGAGAGGGAAGTTGAAGCATTTCAATGTTCTAAACATGTAGCTAAATGTAACGTATATGTACACACATAACTTGTCCGAAAGTAACATCATTTCTGCCTGAGAATTTTCTCCAATGTCTCTGTGTATTTCCATCACAGTACAATACTACACAATAGTTTCTACAGAAAAATGCATGACACCACTTTCTCACTAGATTCCCCTTAAGTAATAAAACTAATGGACAAACTCTGTGTGGTATTAGGGGTGAGAAATGATGCCTAGTTATTAGTAGCCTAGAGCCTGACAGGACCCAAGGTTACCTAACACAGCTAGGCCAGAGGGAAGGGACAGGAAAAGTAGATGGCAGAGTTATGGTTCTAAAAGGTAGACAAAATGCTATTGGGGTGCACATGAGGAGGTAAACCATAAAATCAAAGGAGGAAAGGAGCTAGAAGGATAAGGACTAGAAGGCTTGGTGAAAATGGCATCGACACCACACAACTAAGTCACAGCTGTCCTTTTATATAGGTCCAAGTGTGGAGTGCCTGACAGCTTAAAGAAATGACAATTTCCACATCATATTTCTCATTGAACATACTGTGGAGTCTAAGATGGCCCTCTCTACTGCATAGTCAGTGAGGCAACTCTTGGTGGCAAGCCCTGTCATACATCTGTGTTCAACTTCAATTATCTTCTTGCTACTATTCATTTGTATCCAAACTCCATTCTTCGAAAATTTAACCATTTATTTGTTAGGATAAACATTGGGATTTCTAGAATTCTGAAATGAGGATGTATATTGTGTGCATTATAAGAATGAAGATATTTCAAAGAAAATATTTAAAGTGTTATAATAAACTTCCATCTTAAAATCTCTAGTAACTTATTTTAACAATGGCTTTCATATCTTTTTCAGTTGTTATTTTGTTTAGTTGAAAAAAACTATAATATTTTTCTTCTAATAAAATCAGGAAGTTTCTACTACTGCTGAAAATAAAAATATTTTACTCGAGCCTAATTTCCCTTTTCAATACACACCATAGACACAAAAAAAGCCACAAAGATCATTATTTTCTTGATGGCATCAATCCTATTTCAAAAAGGAAAGGAGATAAAGGGTGAAACTACTTCTCAGCATTCCCAAACCAGTTTGCTTTCAGATTTTGCATATTCAAGCAACGGTTGACTGTTTTACTGATTTGAATAACCCAGCCAGGTACAAGAAGTTCTAACTTCTATGTTAGAATCCACATCTGCTTATGCTAGAATGAAAACCCATCTAAGAATCAATGAAGCACATGGAGAGGGTCTAATTAAATCCCTATGCCATTTCCTTTAAAACTGTCAAATTGAAATTGTAATCGTGTATTCATTCACCCCCAATGGTGCAGTGGTAATTTTAGAAGTGGGAATATTTAAGCAATAAGACCCAACAGGGTGTGTTTTGCTAGCATATCAACAAGACTGGATAGTTCTTAGGTAAGCAGCCAACAGTCTGAAAACAAAACCTTTCCTAATAATGGATAAATCACAAGACCCTTCTACAAGTGTACAACCACGCTAATGAAAAGACTGAATTCTGTATTGGGAATGAGTATTTGCAATAGATATAGTTATTAAATTATACCACAAAATTATCCTGAATACTCCATGAAAATAATATAAAGCTTTAGCACATTATATCAAAGTGACGATATGTTCAACAAATCAATAATCAAATTTCCAAGATTTGGCTTTCGGAGTCACCATAAAATTCCGAAAAACTTGTTATATCTGCAATTCTTTGTCATTTGCTTAATTTTGCTGTTGCCCTAAATGTTTCCCAACTACAATCAAATTGAAAAAGTGTGAGAGGAATATATGAACTGGTATTAGTCTGTTCTCATGCTGCTAATAAAGACATATTCGAGACTGAGTAATTTATAAAGGAAAAAAGTTTAATGTATTCACAGATCCATGTGGCTGGGAGGCCTCACACTCATGGTGGAAGGCAAAGGAGAAGGGAAGCAAAGGCACGTCTTACATGGCAGAAGGCAAGAGGGCATGCGCAGGGGAACTTCAATTTATTAAAACATCACCTCTCGTGAGACTTATTCATTATCACTAGAACAGCATGGGAAAAACCGCCCTCATGATTCAGTTACTTCCCACGAGGCCCTCCCATGCCATGTGGGGATTATTACAATTCAAGGTAAGATTTGGGTGGGAACACAGGGGCAAACCATATCAGCACTTCAATTTGATATTGGGCTACCCTTTTGCCTCATTTTAAAGGACAACATTACACTTGAGGATGAGTCTGTTTGGAACATGGATTGAAATATCTACATGCTCTTTATATATACTAAAAAGATATACAGCTAAGACACAATTGCCCAGGTTGCTTTTCCAGTATGTTTAAATAACAAATAGTGAAGAAAGGTAACCAAATAATATAGCTAATTCATTAGCTTCATGTGGACACATCCTGAGCTAGGATATCATGAGGGTATCTCCAGTCCTCAGGAGAAATATCTTTATGTTCTTGCTTCTGGGCTACAGTGTGGTTTATTCAATCTAAAGGCAATGTCAAAACAAAAACAAAAACAAACAAAAAAACTTTTCTAGATTACATTGTTAAGGTTTTCCTTGATATACTTACTGATTGGACAATTCAGCAAAGCCAAGTAAAGAAGGCTAGCATGATAGCATTCTAATCACTTACATATTTTAAAAAACCTCTTTTTACTCACTTCCTCTCATTGTATATGCTCTCATCCTTCCCTACACCCAATTCCAAACAGAAACACAAAACTGGCACTCTTTATGCCAGTTCCCTCTCTACACAAAAGCCTCTTAAAAAGCTCTCCTCAGTCAAACTAGGCCATAGTCCAAGGTCACGGTGTGCAAACACAGCAACCTCAGAGAAAATTAAGGGAGGTTCCATTGTCCTGTGTGTCCAGGGTGTTTTTTGGGGGAAGAGTTAAGACAAGCAATGTTGACCATAAAAACAAATATAACAAAACAATATTATTTCTGTATAAAGAACTATGGAAATCTGAGTAGAACTAGAGTTCACACAATGGAGAAAAATAACTTGATAATGGGAGGGCACTCTTGCTACCCTCCTCTCCCCTTTGCTTATAACCATTCAATTTTTGGTGCCTGGGGATGGGAAGTAGGGAGGGAGTAGACGCTTGAGAGAATGGAAGAAGTTTACTGTTTTCATCAAATAAATTTACCTTCTCTGATCTCTATTTCATAAGATATGAAAAACACTCACACCATCAGTATAGAGAAGCATAATGCCAACTCACACATTATATTTTCTACCCTACATTAGCAACATATCCATATGCACAGCAAATAAGAGAGTTTAAAGATAAGTCAAAGAAAGATGAAACTCAAAAATTATTGGTAACTATTGGAAACCATCAGAATACCAGAAGAATCCATAAATTGCATATCTCCACAAGAAGTTAGATCTCTAACATCAGGATCTGTCACAGGGAGAACATACACAAAGTTATAACAAAATTCCAACATTAAACTCTTGTAAGAAGGAGCAGGAAATGTAAATGTCCTGGGACTTTTTAAGTGAAGGTCAACATTTGAATTACAGGGGATTGCTCTTCCGGCTCTTATTTTAACATATAAACACACACTTTCATACATAGTAGCACACACTAACACTTTTTTTTAAATAAAATATGAATGTTTATCTTAAATCTGGACTTTTCAATAGTCCAAAGTTACTGTTGACCACCAAGTCTTCTCACAATAGGAAAACTCATAAATCATAGTTAAAATTAGGAAAACTAAATTAAGTTTATGATCTTTCACATTCAACATGTTGTTTAAAATGTCCATAAAATGATGTTCTTATTTAGAGCATTTCAGGCTTCTACTTCATCACAGATTGTGAAAATGAATGGGAAAACAGTAGAGCTGTGGAATAATCAGTGGGAATATGCACATTTCCTAATCCAGTTTTCCTAAGTCTAAGCTCTTTATATCTTGACACCAAAGGTAAGCTTTGAACTTCTCCAGTTGAAATATTTCTTAAATTCTAATATAGAAAGATTTACATATACTCCCCATTGTTTCATTTGCTTAGAAAACAGATTGAAAGAACAATGATGCTGGATTTCAGATGTCTGCAGGAAATATTGCATGCATGACATATGTTTTCCCTGGGGATTTGACACACATTTGCTTTAATGTACTGGTGTGTTCCTCATTACCTTAGATGCTATATGCTAAAAAGAAGAGTGTTCCAGTTTTCAAGGAAAAGAGAAAAAAATGATAAATTCCAAAGCTTTTCTCTCTAAAGGGCAATAATTTAGGGGTTAAACTTTCAAAGAAGAAAAATGCAAATGATCATGTTTCTAAATGCCCAACTCTTTAAAGATTATGTGTAAGCCTTCCATAAGCCTTCCATACATGTAAGTCTTTTTTGTTATTGAAGAATTTATCCAAAGAGAGAAAGAATATGCCTTTGAAAGTCAACAACTAAAAAATAAGATCTGCATCTCTAAATAATGGAAGTCACCAATTTAAGATGTTTGAGGTATTAATCCTCTGGAAAACTATCTGGTCTCCAGAAGCAGTGGATTGTTAAACATTTTTTGATGGATGCCTTGGGCTTTTACCACAAACTGACACATAAAGTTCCACACTGAACACAGAATGCCACCATTCCACAGTACACCAGCTGCCTTATAACAATGTCTACATCTCTGTGTAATTGTCCTTAATTAAAAACATATAGAATATCCAAAACACTTTCAGGATTCTCATTCAGTATCTGTTCAACCAATATGCAAATAAAGAAAATTGTCCCCCCTAGGTCACTGAAATTAAAAAGCTATTGTAAAAGATACAAGACTCTCTAAAGAACACAATTCAGTACGATATCATGAGGAATAAAATATTTTACAAGCTGAAGATAATACATCATATGGGCGTATGGGATAGAATCTTCTTTTCCACTCAATTGTCCTTTGCCTGAGATGACCACATCAAATGATCAGATGTTACTCTGTACCATGAGAACTTGATAGAGTTCTGAAATCAAATATCTCAAATAGTTTCCTAAGTCCAGACAATGATAATAAACATTTCTGCAAGAGTTTAAGCCAGACTCATTAGTGAACATGAGTTGCCTCACATCAGCTGAAGGGAAAACTGTCTCCTGAAATTAAAGAGCAATTGATATCAACATTTGCTTCCTCCTGGCACAATCTTTAGTATCTTGGAATCTTGGACTCGTATATCCTGATGCACTTCAATAAAACTGACTTTAAAATCCCCCACTCAGTGAATTGAAATAAATAAGTGTATCGATTGAGTAAATTGCAATCCATACATTTAATTAAACACCTTTCGCAATTTAATTTAAAGAATTTGAATTAATTTTGCATTTATTACAATGGCTTTTCTTATTAAAAATGAAAACACCAAGAGGGACAGAGTGAGCTAGGGATTGATGTTAGAAAGTCTACCAAAAAGATTAATAACTAATTTAAATGTCACCATCTCCCTGACAAATTGTGTGCTATTTTCAGGTTGACTTGAGAACTCCAACCTTGTTTGTTGGTGTTTAATTCTGAACATGAATTCTACAGTTTTATGAAAGAGATAATATGTATGTATTTTACAGCTGAAACACCAACAGGATTGAAAACCAAAATCTTCTGTTTATCCCAAGGTTAGGTACAGTGCATTCAGCTACAGTACAAATGTAGAGTACCTAAATGAGCTTGCCAATGACAGTCTTTATTACAGAATAATAATTCAATGTCCACCTTAGCTGGATACCAAGTAACAGAGATGGCTGACCCAGTCTAGCTATTTGAAGCAAGTTATTATTAGCAAATATTTCTGCTGAAGCTGAAATTTAGTAATTTTTATGGTGTAGGCCACTTTTGGTTTAAATTTTGTAAAGTCCAGGAAACTACAAAAAAACTATTAAAGTGAGAGTTCTCTATTTATTAAATGAATAAAACAATAAATTGATAAACAGATGGATAACTGAATGTATAGATGGATGGATAGAGGAATCTTTGCAAGACTGCAATTTACAAAATAGTTTTTGAACAAAAGATCAAAGTGTTTGACTTTCTTCTTTATCATAGCTGGTTTGAAAATGTACCAGTAGGTTGAAGACAGCTGAGGGAGCAACTGGGAAAATTTTTCCTTAAGAGGCTGTAATGACACAACGTTTCATTTTCTGCATATCATAGCTATTACCATGGAAGACAAACTGAAGAGATTCCAAGAAAGAAAAAGTTGTCATGATTCTAGGTATTAATTCTTCAGTCAAGAAGTTTACCCTCACAAGACTCCATATATATATATATATATATATGTATATGTGTGTGTATATAATGTGTGTGTGTGTATATATATATATGTTTTTACAAAATGATTATTGTAAACTCCTCGGCTGCATATATGCATTGCATAAGAACAAGTAACTAGATCATGATAAGCTTGATTCTCCATACACCAGGATCATTTCCTGTTGTAAACTAAGTACCAGTGGAAGTCAAATCAGCAGAGTATAATTTATTAAGCTACTGCTGTGTTAATGCAACTTCCAAAGGTGGCTGACTTACTACCTGGGATTTGATAAGCCACTAGAACCAGGTTCATTTTATTCAGATAAGGCTATTTCAAACCCAAAACTTCACAGCTGACTCTCAGAGAAAAAAAGTATCCATGAATTTAATTATGTTGGAAATCTATAAAATTCTAATTCATTCATTCGCCATTCATATTGACACATTGCTAGTGGTACAGGAAGTTATAGGATATATAATCCTGCTGTTTTTCAAAGATGTGTATGGCAGTATCGTGGGGAGGCATATTTTGCTCAGGAATCCTTTCACCATTATGACACTACCCAATATGTTATGGCAATTGTAATACTTTGTAGACCAGTGGAAAATATATCTAAAAATAACTGTGCCATTTCTGAGCAAAAGCAGAAGTAATTGATGTTTCCTAGAAAAACGATCCCACCTGGCTTTGTAGAAGAGCAGCATGAGCATTTCAGTGACAGGTAGATCCAGAACAGAGCTTTGTCCTCAATATCATTCCGATTCTCTGAAACCCCAAAGCAAGGTTCATAGAGGTTCTTTAGAATGCTCTACTTGAAAGCCAGATTACACTATTTAAGTGGCCTATGGAGTTCTGTATTAAAGGCTCCCTGCTGCTCAGGCATTTTTCCCCATTATAATATATTGCTATAGATTTGACACTGGAGATGTTCTATCATTTAACTAATATGGCTCAAAAGGTTGTCATCAGGGACACCTCTAAATTATATCACTGCAAATAAACCTTGCTATGGAAGGATCGCTTATTTAGCAAAGACATTTTATGGCACATTAGCATGAAAATACTACTTCTGTCTTTCAAGTTCATCTGTAACATTGCTGCTGAGTAGAAAAAACATTAGATGTGTACAAATACAAGTGACTTTGGCAGTAAGCTAATTTGTAAATGCATATTTGCAAACTTTAAGTGCACTGATATGTCCTAACTTATACCCTACATAACTCATAGATTTTTGCATAATAGAAAAAGACAAAAAAAAAACCCTTATTACTCAGCTTTTCCATTTAGCTCACAGGAAATTGGTAATCAACCACTAAATGTTCATCCCCTGCTGAATGTGGCCTGCAAAGCGGGTGAATGAAGCAATTCAAAGTAAGGCAGCATCCAGAGGAGAATGAAGCATTGGCTGCATGGGAAGAATGTTTGAAGGGATTATTTTTTACCCTTCCTCTGAAACCAACCCGCAGTGAACATGACGGTAAACACTAAAGCTGACATGAGAATGAAAGCTATTTGCCAAGTATTTTCATATCTTCTTCATCTCAGTTGATTGTTCTTGCTTGCTGGATGCTGCAAAACATGTTAATAGCTTAGGTTTTAGTATCAGAGAAGCCTGGATTCAACGTTGGTCTTAACATTATGTACTATGTCATCTTAGACAAATTGTTTGACCTAAGACTCAATTTCCTCATATTTTAATTTTGTAAATTACTTATTTTTAATTATCATGGGTATACAATAGTTATACATTTATGGGGTACAGATAATGTTTTGATACAGGCATAAAATGTGCAATGATCAAACAGGGTAACTGGGGTATCTGTCACCTTAAGCATTTATCATTTCCTTGTGTTAGGAACATTCTAATCCTACTCTTTTAGTTGCTTTAAAATATACAAACAATGATTCTTACCTGTAGTCACCCTATTGTGCTACCAAATGCTACCTCTTATTCATTCTATCTAACTGTATTCCTCATATATCTTCAGATGTGCATAACATACTGATCTTTCTAGTTAAAAGAAGTTAACAGCCTTTTGAGCTAGACAATACAGTTATTTTTACCCACATTCTGAACATAGGGAAATTAAGGTTGAATGAATTTAAGAGATTTATACAAGTTACATATGTAGACAATAGCAGCCTTGAGTATGGATTCCAAGATTTCTGGCTCCTAGCTTAAAGCTATTTTTATTCCAAAATACAGGATTCTCAATTTGCCTAGTTTTTGCTGTGTGTTCTGACCTCAGTATTGTACATATGAGTTATTTTCATTTTTAACTCAAATTTTTATTTGATCCAGGTATGTTAAAAAGTAAAGAGGAAAAAAAAAAGGTCAAACAGCTAGTTAGGTCAACCACGCCTCACATCTGTTATTTTGAAAGTCTGTTCCTGGTTCTCCTAAAGTGTTTCCACTTTCCACAGATTCTTCCTCTGTTTTACTTCTGAACTCAAAACAAATGATCAGGCTTCTGCTTCTCTTTGGAATTCCAGCAGTGTTCTATGATGTTAGTAAATACATAATGAAGGAGGCCATTTGTAAATTTAAGTCATTCATGGATTGAATGTTGATTGGGCACTGGTTTAGTCACCATATGCTTACCATAAACTTTTTTTTCTATTTAATTAACATAATTATCTCAAAAAATATATTACAATAATAATGATAGCAAAATGTATGTCCACAAATTAACTTATTCACTTTAAGTTAGAATTTATCCATGTTACCTAGCACAATATGCCGTATTATTTAAATTATGCATTTATTTTCTTTATTCTTGGTCACCCCTCATTAGAAATAAACTGCAGGAATTTGTAACTATTGTGGTCCCTACTGTATCCTCAATACCTAGAAAAATCACCTAGTATATTAACACTTAATAAGCACTTGTTAGATAAATGAATGAATGAATAATTCCTTCAACCAAATATATCCCTCTACCTTCTGGTACTCTTGTACTCTGATTTCCATCCATACCCCAGAAACCCCAGATGGAAGTATAAACTCCCATCTAATACCAGCCTAACAAGTTTGCACCGTATCTTTTTTTTTTTAAGTGAGATAGGGTCTCTCTCTGTCACCCAGGCTGGAGTGCAGTGTAACAAACACAGCTTACTGAAGCCTCTACCTCCCAGGCTCATGTGATCCTCCTGCCTCAGGCTTCCATGTAGCTGGGACCACAGGCAGGCACCACCACACCTGGCTAATTTTAAAATTTTTTGTAGAGACTGGATCTCACGGTGTTGCCCAGGCTGTTCCTTTCTCACCTATTTAAGTGAGATTCTCACCTATGTAAAGTACAATTTTCCCTTCTGTTTCCTGTATCATCAACTTATTATACTATCTACTAAATCCTTCCCCTTCCCCTATGATAATGCATTAATATCTATCAACTTGAAAAAAAAAGTACTTTGACCTCATAGCACCCACCAAACATATCATGATTGTCTGCTTTCTTGACATAAATCTCTTCTGAAAGAGTTGTCTCTACTTCCTGAATCCACTCCCTCCCTTACATACACCTCTAAAACTATAATTGCTCTTGTTAATGTAATCAATCAGTGAGCTCCATGTTGTCAAAGCCAGTGGCCAATGTGATTTTGAAATATGTTCTTTACTTGGCTCTTGAAATATCATTTACTGTCATTCTCCTCCTTTCAACTGTCACCTACTCATCTTGTAAACTTGAATCACTGGAATGTCCCACTCCTCAGATGTCAATGCTCTTTGCTTCCATTCTCTACTGACACCATCTAGGTAATTTCATCCAATACTATGGCTTTAAATACCATTTAAATGCTAAGGATTCAAATTTAATCATTATCACTAATGTACCTCTTTGACTCCAGGCTAATATATCCAATTGCATACTTAACATGTTTACTTGGATATCTGAAAGGCATTTCAAACTTAATATGCCCAAATCCAAACTTATGATTACTCCTTCACCACCCAAAACCAACACTTCCTCCAATCTACTTTGTTTGAATAAATGGTATCTCCACAATTTCAGTTGTTTATGCCGGAAAACTCAGTATCCTCATAGGCTCCTCTCTCTTTCTGCTGTGGTTTAAATGTTTGTGTTCATGTTGAAACTGAATCCCCAATGCAAAAGTATTAGGAGGTAAGGTCTTTAGGAGATAATTAGACCACTAGAGCTCTGCTCTCATGAACAGAATTAGCAACCTTATAAAAGGGCTGGAGAGAACTAGCTAGGCCCTCTTTTGCCCTTCTGTCTTCCACTTGTGAAGACACAGCATTCACCCCTTCTACCATGTGAGAATGCAGCAAGTAGAACCTCACCAGACATGAATGTCAGCACCTTAATCTTATACTTCCCAGCCTCCAGAATTGTAAGAAATAAATTTCTGTTATTTGTAAATTGCTCAGTCTCAGGTATTTTGTCATAGCACCACAAATGGTCTAAGAGACTCTCATACCTCCAATTTAATTCATTGATAAATCCCATAAAGCTCTATCTTCAACATATATTCCTAACCAACTACTTCTTAACACTTCTAACACCCTAATTGAAAGCTTGATCATCTGTCACTATACTACTGCAATGCACTGCTAAACTAGTCTCCCTGTTTCTAACCATGCCCCTTTTACAGGTAACAGTATTTACACAGTATCTAGTAATCCTTATAAAACAGAAATAAAATCATGTCAAAATTTTGTTGACAGACATTCCTTGGCTTCCCATCACTCATAATGAAATCCAAAGCCTAACCACAGCATGCAGGACCCTAAATTACCTCCTTATGACCCACCCCACAGATTCTCTGATTTCATCTCCTATTATTCTCCTACAAATGCTGATGCAATAACAATGGATTCCTGGATATTCCTCAAGTATTCCAAGTACCCTCCTGCCTCTTGGCAATCATATTTTCCTCTGCCTAGAAGGGAGTCCCTCAAAATGTCCACATGGCTTGCTTTGTCACTTTTGTTCTCAAATGAGATACTAGGTGAGAAGCCTTCACTGAAGATGAAGGCTTCTCAGGTATATAGGTATACAGAGTGATGGGGGTAGTGTCTTATATTACATAGAGTGATATATAATATTTCTTTTTTTTTTTTTTGTCTTTTGTTTTTTTTTTTTTCCTTTGTCTGGAGAACGGGGTCTCGCTATATTGCCCAGGCAGGTCTCGAACTCCTGGGCTCAAGCTATCCTCCCGCCTCTTGGCCTCCCTGAGAGCTGGGATTACAGGCGTGAGCCACTGCGCCCGGCCAATATTTCTATAATCATTCTATATGAAATAAGGCACTAGCCCCATCACTTTGTATACCCTTATTCTTCCTTCAGAACATTCATCACTAATTGATGTATATGATTTGTTCATTGTCTTTTTTCCTACCTTACAACATAAGTTCCAAAAGAGCAGAAACATTATCTGTTGTGTTAATTGCTATATCCAAGTCCTAAGACAGTTTCTGGTACATGGTTGACACAGTAAATATCTAGTAAGTCAGTGAATGACCCCTCCTAATTATGAAAATTAAGTGTAGGAATAAACGACTGTCCCAGGAAATGTCATACTAGGTTCTATTAATAGGTCTGACTTCATGAGTCTGATTCTCACTGAATTCCTATAGCATTCAGGGTTCTACAGAGTGGTTCAACCAATTTGAATCAGGAGATGAGGGGCCTTCAGTGAGGAAAGCTACAAAGACTCCACCCTCTATTCCCCAATATTTCAGGTTACAGAAACTGATCAAATAGACTAGGGTGACTCTGTACATCATCTCCTGGTCCAAAAGAACAGCAAGCCTGCAAGAGGGAACTCACCAGGAGGGCAAAGGGAGTCTGAGCTGGCAGCCCAGACTCAACATGAGAGTCTATGTGGTTAGGAAGCAAGGCTGATTCTGAAGCCAGACCCTCCAGACTGTGTTGTTCTTTGGGGAGCAGTGAATGCACAATGACTATACAATGACACTCTAATATCACTGCCCCAGTATGAGGCACCATTTTCAATGTCAAGGCTAGCAAAGAGAGGCATCTGGACCAGCTTTCGTTGAACTATGCAACACTAGCCTCTGGTAGAAGGAAATCAGGCTTTCGGTTTATTCTCTGCTTTGTGTTTGAAAGCAGAAAAAAACATTTTGGATTGAGTAACAAATATCAGAATTCTTAGACAACTCAAGAGAATGGTGTAGGGTAGAAAATGATGAACATGGTGGCCAAACACAGTAAGTTCCTGCTAATAATGGCAAATCAAGCCTTCACATTTTGTTTTTCATCAAAAGAAGTATGACTATATTTGCATGCTGGGTTGCTGGAACAAATCAGATCACTTATATGAACATTTCACAAAATGTATTCCATGCACTATAAATAGAAATTACCTAAAAAAATTTCCATGGCCAAATGAAATAGGAAAACATAGGCTTAAACAAATTTAAGCAGCTATATTGACTGGAAGACTTTTCAGAGAGGTAACGAGATAAAGTACAGCATTTTCCAAATTTATGAGATTAGGAAAACCTTCTTTACAAGGGAATTTCATGAGAGTAACATTCTGGGAAGCACACTTGAGAAATGCTGTTAAGTCTAAACTATATGGAATAAATGTATTTTGCAAGAAGTTTGATTAATGACTTGATTGAATACTAGTGTTTGGGCCAGTGAGATATGGTACCAGAATTCATGCAAAATAATTTATTCAATGAAAAATATTTCATTTTAATTCTGTACTTTTGAAAAAAATATTTTTAAACTCCTAAAGATGGGAAATTTGGACGGGAATGAGCTACTACATGTGGCAGGCATAAGTTATTCAATTTATAGAGTCCCTCATTTCATTTTTACAAGAACTCTATAAGATATGTATTGTTCTCTCTACTTTTCATATGAAGGAAACAAAAACTCGAGCTATTTAAGTGACTTACCCAAAAAACTAATGGTAGAACTTCTTCTTCTTCTCAGACTTTTGGCTAAGATCAAATGTAAAAAAAACTAATGGTAAGGCCAGAGTTTGAGACCAGGCCATTCCAGTGCCAAAATCACAGGGACCCATCCTCCCTTCCTTTCTTCCTTCCTCCCTTTCTTCCTTTCTCCCTCCCTCCCTCCCATCCCACCTCCCTGTCTCTCTTTTTCCCTCCCTCCCTCTCTCCCTCCATCTTTCCTTTTCTCTTTCTTTCCTTCCTGCCATTCATTAATTCTTTTTTTTTTTTCTTTTTTTGAGACAGAGTCTCGCTCTGTTGCCAGGCTGGAGCACAGCAGTGCGATCTTGGCTCACTGCAACCTCTGCCTCCTGGGTTCAAGCGATTCTCCTGCCTCAGCCTCCTGAGTAGCTGGGATTACAGGCACACACCATCACATCCAGCTAATTTGTTGTTGTTGTTGCTGTTGTTGTTAGTAGAGACGGGTTTTTGCCATGTTGGCCAGGATGGCCTCGATCTCCTGACTTCATGATCCGCCCGCCTCAGCCTCCCAAAGATCTGGGATTACAGGCTTGAGTCACCGCTCCCTTCCCTCCCCTCCCCTCCCCTCTCCTCCCCTTCCCCTTTCCTTTCTTTCTTTCATTCATTCTCGATTCTTTCTTTTTCATGATGCTTCCCTAAGATCCAAAATCAATCAAAAATCAGCATTCTCCCACCAAGGTTTAGTTTTCCGTTATGAAAGAAATACTCGAATTTGGAAATCAGCAACAATTTTGTGGGGCTAATGAAAAATGGGTTCCATTTAGAATTATAGTGATCCATTATTTTATATGGACCACCCTGCACTTCCTATATTCTCCCCAGGCTCTTTTTATTTCTTGGGAGAAAAAAAAATTGTTCTCTTAAAACAAAAGTTTCATTTAAGAGAATAATTAATTATTATTTAAAGGGCACTTCAAATGCCATTTCAAATCATACCCTATTTCCTTTCGTCCACAGCACTCTGCATGAATGTGAACTGATTCAATGGGAGACTTACTATTTTTACAATGGTCAATTTTTTTGCAGTCTATGTTTCAGTTAGTTGTGTGGTAAGAAAAAAAGCAAAGATTTTGTGTAGGTGTGCCCAGTTACCACTTGAGACCAGTATTTTGCATTCTTGTTTCTCCTTTACAAACACATAAAGAGTTATTCAAATTTGGGTGGTATCAAAGAACTTAATATACAAATTCAAACAAATCATTCAAAAGAAAAAAGCAATTAATCTATTTTTTTGTCTTTACTTTCTCTCAATTGCCATTCAAACTGATTATGATTTTGTTATTTCATAATCAAATAGTCTTCTGCCTTAAATATAATTTTTCTCCCCCAAGTTGAGCTCTGAAGTACCATTGTTATAATAAATTACAACTGTAAGAGTTTGACTTCCTAATACTTACACTGTCTAGCAAATTGGGAAACTTAAATGTTTTGGAGATAAATGGTGGAATACCAATTTTGTGGATTCATTCTCTGGTAAATTCCAATTCTCACTTTATCATACAGCATTAATTCAGATCAAAGTTTCTACTGGGATTTTATACACAGAAAAAAATATGCATATATAAATCCACATATATATTCATTTGCAATCAGAAAAACACAATTTAAAACCCTGTTTGTCATAATCATGATAAAGATAACATGACCTCTTCCAGCCTTCTGCCCCCAGGTAACATTTTGAACCTCAATCTGGCAAGTAATTTTTAAACACAATTTAAACAATAATGAGACACCCTTCTTATCCATCTTATTACTGAATAACAATGTCAAATAATAGGTATCCTAAAAAACAAGAGTGTAAGTTGGCACAGCCACTTTGAAGAGTAACTTGGCAACATATAGTTAAATTTCAAATGGGAAACGGGCATATGCTATGATCTGGTGATTCCACTTCCTGGCAGTCTTAACTTGGGTTTCCATAACAAAACACCATAGACTGGATGGGTTAAACAATAGACATTTATTTCTAATAGATCTGGAGACTAGGAAGTCCAGATGAAGGTGCTGATGGATTTGGTTCTTAGTGAAAGCCTTCTTCCTGGTTTGGAGATGGCTGCCATCTCACTGTCTATTCATATAACCTCTTTGTGCAGAGACAGAAAAAAAGAGGGAGAAAAATTTTCATGTCTCCTCTTCTTCTTATAAGGGCACTAATAATATCATGGGGGGCCCACTCTCATGACCTCATCCAAACCTGATTACTTCCCAAAGACCCTACCTCCTAATACAGTCATGTTGGGGGTGAGGACTTCAACATGTGAATTTTTTTTTTTTTGAGGAGGAGTTTTTCTCTTGTTGCCCAGGCTGGAGTGCAATGGTGCACTCTCGGCTCACTGCAACCTCCACCTCCCAGGTTCAAGTAATTCTCCTGCCTCAACCTCCCAAATAGCTGGGATTACAGGCATGCACCACCACACCTGGCTAATTTTGTATTTTTAGTAGAGACGGATTTCTCCATGTTGGTCAGGCTGGTCTCAAACTCCAGACCTCAGGTGATCTGCCTGCCTAGGCCTCCCAAAGTGCTGGGATTATAGGCATGAGCCACCACACCCAGCCTCAACGTGTGAATTTTAAGAGGACAAATTCATTCAGCCCCTAACATTGATGGTGGACAGCTTTTGAGTGTGTGCCCATAGAAACACAAATATACAAATATGCATAATCCTTGAAATACTGTTGGTCCTACTAAAATAGGTTTAGTTATATATGGTTGAGTTCTCAGAAAATGATATTGAGGAGAAAGGAAGGTGAAAATGATAAATGTAGTAATGTAACTACTATAAACATTTTAAAACCGAAAGGTATAAAATATTTATGATACTTATGTGTATAAAAAATAAACATGAACAAGAAAGATGCACACCAAATTCATCATAGAGATTATATAGGTAAGGAATTGTAGATTAGGATTAACATTGGTGGTTAATGGGAAATAAGTAAGACAAAATGTTAACAATTATTAGTTCTGGCCATAGATGTTCTATTATTCTATGTATTTTTCTGAAATATTTACATTTTTAAAATTAATTTTTAAAACAATTAAATTCTTAGAATCCTAGGTGCTTTATGATTAGTAACAAATTACTGGGCTGGGCACAATAGCTCACATCTGTAATCCCAGCATTTTGGGAGATCAAAGCAAGCTGAGCCCAGGAGTTGGAAACCACACTGGGCAATAAAGTGAGACCTTGTCTCCGCAAAAATCTTTTTAAAAACTAGCCAGGCATTGTGACAGTCACCTGTGGTTTCAGCTCCTTGGGAGGCAAAGGCAGGAGGATCACTTGAGCCCAGGAGTTCAAGGCTGTAGTGAGCTATGATGATGATGCCACTGCACTCCAGCCTGGGTGACAGAGAGAGACTCCAACTCAAAGACAAAACAAAACAAAACAAAATTACTGGCTAGACTGAGGTTGAAAATGGGGCAGAAGGTTGGAAAGGTCATGTTATCTTTATCATGATTATGACAAGCGGGGTTTTATTCGCAGAATAACCAGACTTGTTTAACAGGACTGATAATGATATACTGGATGTTCCAATGAAATATTTACCCAGTTTGGATGGTGAAAAGGCATTTATAAATATAGAAAACTTGTGAAAATTTATACTATAATATGCTAAGACCACTAGCTGGCATTAGTAATGTGTTACATGATTGCATTAATTGCAATCTGGATAACAAGTAGCATAATCACATCCAATACTGAGCAACCTAAAGAAGGATTATAGTATTACTGGAAGATGGAAAATGTTGCTGTTATTCAAAGACAATGTAGATATGAATTCTAAACTAAACCATCAGTGGATTTAGTCATTGAGTTTCAAAACTAGTTTGAGATTAGGGATATTTTGCAGGAAAATATGCAGAATGAAGGAGGAAGTAGAGAAATAAATATGGATGTATATGGAAGAGTTAAAGCACCTTTTCTCAAAACTCCAGCTAAGCTAATGGTAAATATTTTGAACCTATGCTTCTCAAGCAGCATATTTAGAGCATCTAATATAAATTTTTAGACACAGATGATGGTGGGCATTGGCATTTTATTGAGATGCATTATATAGTAAATCATTTTTTATTTGAGACTTGTATGTGCTAAGGACATGTCCTTGCCAAAACTGTGACTGCATTGGCTAAAGCCCCCATCATTTTTCACTTGATTAATGTCTCAGTTTATCTCCTTCCTCCAGTTTCTATCCCCTTTTAAACTCATTGTCCACTCTAACATCATATCTCAGATATAAAATTCTGATTATGTCATTTAACAGCCTGCAATGAGCTAGCCCTGTTGACTTGGAGACATTTCCTCTAAGAATAGTCAAGTAAAAAAAAGCAAGATGCAGAAAAATATGCAAAGTATTCTTTTGTAAAGCAAACAATGGCCAAAAAAACCCGATGTATATGGATATTGAATATATACATATACTGTATGCTTGAATATAATTATATAGCCAAGGAGAAAACAAAGAAAGGATACGAAATAAGTGTTAACATGAGTTGGGGAAGGAAAGATGTGGGTAGAGAAGGGGGATAAGACAGGAAGGAGAGAGAAAATTGGGAGGCAGGAGCCAATTAAAAAATGAAGAGGAAAAACAATATGTATGATCGTCTTTATATATTGATGTAAAATGTGTGTGATATTTTTATGTAAACACTTGAAAAGTAACAAATAGTAATAATTATAATTTCCTATTGTCTGTAGGAAGTTTAAACTTTTTGGCTCTAAACAGTCGTTGCAATTTCCCAATTATCTTGTAACTGCTCCAGGCTTATGTACCAGCTACACTTTCTTCACAGTTCCCACACCACACCATCCTAACCTTCCCTATCCAACCCTTACACATCCCATTGTGCATCTGGGATGCCCTTTCCTCCTTTCTTCCTAGAGAAGTCCTATCTTCATTCAAGAGCCTGTTCAAATGTCCTTTGCAAAGACTTTCTTAAACTCAGATACTCCATCTTCCATGTGCCCTGAAGTGTTTGTAGAACTTTCCATTGTGATGTTAAGTTGTATTGTGATTACTTTTGAACATATTTCAGCATTCTATTCTCTCGCTAGATAGCTAGCTCCATGAGGAAAGGAATCATATGCTTAATTTTTGCATATCAAGCACCTGGAATAAACCAGCATTTAGGAGATGGTAAGGAATTTTTGTTGATTTTACTGATTTCTGTTTGATTTTACATTTTAAAATGATGCTCAGCATTGTTGTACATCAATATTGTGCTTATTGTACACCAAGGTTAAGCATTTACATCTCCAATAAACCAACTCATTTTATTCTAGTTTATGGCCATGATTTACAGATATCTTACACTTGTCTCTGTAACAAGGTATTCAGGAAAGATTCTTTCTATCTAAGTTTTGGGGGAGGCCCCCAAAATCAAAACGGAAACAATAGGTAGCAAGTTCTCCCACATTCTAAAATAAGGCAATGGACCTCCTAAACAAGACCTGAAAGGAAGTGGACTGAAACTGCTTAGTGACTCAACATCTACTCAAGGGTCTGAAACAGTTGATATTGAGGAAACTGAGAGACATAAGAATTTCTCTGTAGAATGTTGTTGGAGGCTGTTGCTACTTTTCATCTCCCTCATCTGTAAGAGAGGCATCAAGAACACCTCACAGAGAGTTTAATGTTGATTCCCTAAAGCTTGGAGGACAGAGGAGACACGTGTTTAGTCTACCTTTGAGAAATTTCAGGCAAAAGACTCTATATCTGGAGTTGCCTACTTAGAGGCAATGCAAAGAGATACAGCTGTCCTTGGAGCCAGCTGCACTTCCACAGACAATAAAGCAGAGGTTGGTGTTTCCATGACCCAGTGTGGGCTCTTTAGATGACATCTGGGTAAGAGTTTCTTTTAAAAGGATTTTTTTTCTGAGGATGAGGCAACCTTGGCATAAAGAAGCTATGGGGTACTAACTGATGTAGAAGCTGAGGAGCTATTGAAGCAAACAAACAAGAGAGAAAGAGACTAGATGGCTCTAGTGAGGGAATTTCTGCAGAACCCACAAGAGTGTCCCACATCAGCTGAGAGCATATTAGGTTGGTGCAAAACTAATTGCGGTTTTTGACTTTAAAGTAGTGGCAAAAACTGCAATTCCTTTTGCACCAGCCTAATGCAACAAGGCAATGCAGACCACTGGCATCCCTGCCCTTGCCTCTCCTCCCTCTTTCTCCACCAAGGAACAGTGAAAAACCCAGAGCCAGTGGTTAGGGGAATGGCAGTGGAACCAACATGGGAAATGAAAACTTTTAAATTTACGGGAACCTGAGATTACTGATTATTGCATGGACTAGTCATTTTAATTACCTAAATGGGGTTCTGACTGTAAGTGACTAGAGTACTTCTTTTATCGTCCAAAAGGCGATGAAAAAGATATAGAACTTACCTAATATTTCAACTGTGGTAGGGAAAGAGTGAATCCATAAAGAGTTTGAGTTTATTATGCTCTAGCTGTTCAAACTAGTTATGTATGCTATTTTATACAAGAATGGAATGAGAAATATATGTTAATTTGTATACATCTATTGCTACTACTGGAGAAAAGAAATTCAAGTATATCCCTGGCTCAGAAAGAAATAATGAATCATTTTTATATTTAAGACTTACAGAGTAAATTGTCTATTTCATCACATATATGAAAACATAAAACAAATGTGAACAATAAGTCTTAGTTATAAATCTCACAATTAAATTATTGTAGCATTTCCAACACAAAAAATATTATCTTCATAAATAATTTTAAATAGCCATACAATAAGTTGCTCTCATCATGGTCCAACAGAGTAATAAAGAGTACACGTTTAAGAGATTTTTTGTCTTGCTATGGTAATTTACTGCATGTCAGGTATGATAGTAGGCAACAAGTGTGAAGAAACAAGTGTGAGGAAGACCACACCCTCGTTATAAGAAATTCACAGACTAGAAGAAAGACTAATGCATTAAAAATGTCCACCACTGGGCTAGTAAAGGCCCCTGTCAGGTGACACCTAGACTGCTACTACCAACTATGCTTATTGCCTCCAGACTCACCCCCTCTCATCCACCTTCTACACTGATTACTAAACTAAAACTAATATGACCATGGCACCTGCTTGCATTGAACGTGCTGCTGGCTTCTAGTAAACTTCAATACTAATTTCTAATATTTTAACCTGATAATCTGCTCTCTGCCTACTTCTCCATCCTTCCTTCTAAATATTCTCCCCTTGTTAACTTCATACTCCAGTACCTCAAACTATATCACATTTTTCCCCACCTCCTGAGCCCTTGCCCATGCTTTCCTTTCTCTCTGGCACCCTTCCTATCTCATCTGCCTGCAAAACTCTCGTCCATTCTTTGAAATCCTGCTAAGTTATTCGCTAAGATATTCATCTCTTCTGTAAGGTCTTTCTTGCCCATCCCTGTTTAGTGAACCACTCACATGCTTATTTATATAAATTCCATTTTCAGCCGTACTTCTATAATGGCGCATATGACATTGGTCTAAAATTACTTACTTTGAATCTTGTCTCTAACACCACACTCTGAGCACCTGGTACTGTGACTGGAACATTGTGGACAATGAACAAATGAAATAACTGAACCAACTCAAATTTGGATCAGTCGTATAATGATATGTACTGACCTTGATTAGGGGCCAGCACAGTGGCTTTATTGCCTAATGAACTAGACTTTTCTTAGGACTCAAATGCAAAGTTGTTAAAAGGCCCTTCTAATTAACTCAAAAACAGATAAGGCAGTTTGAAGGAGAGCTGGCTGTGAATTTGGCTCCGAGTTTATGTACTAGAATCTGAGGGGTCCTGAGAGGTTCAAAGCGTCCAAGTCCTATAAGGAATTGCGGATTGGAAGACAAAATTAGCTAACACTACTGAGAAGACAAACAAGAAATCCCTGCAGCATGGCCGACAATCATCTGCACTTTGTTTATACCTTAGGATCCGTTTTTTTCACATGGCTTCCATGTTCTTCTGTCTTCCCCCAAAGGCATATTCATGTTTAGAGAACCTGTAATAAAAATATTAGATAAACAATAACAAGGACTGCTTTTCATTTACTGGAAATTCACACAATTTATATAAATATATAAACATCCAGGAAGAATATTAACCAAATACTTTCCCCACTGAAATGAAATTACTTTCTTACTTGATTTTTTTTTTTTTTCTGAGACAGGGTCTTGCTTTATCACCCAGACTGGAGTGCAGTGGCGCGATCTCTGGTCATTGCAACCTTTGCCTCCCAGACTACAGGTGCATGCCAGCACGCCCAGCTAATTTTTGTATTTGTAGTAGAGATGGGGTTTCACCATGTTGCCCAGGCTGGTCTCGAACTCCTGAGTTCAAGCAATTCACCTGCCTTGGCCTCCCAAAGTGCTGGGATAACAGGCCTGAGCCACCGCACCCAGCCTCAAACTTGATCATTTTTTTAAAAGCAAAAACTTAGACTATTTTCAGAATTTTTATTATTCCTAAATATAATTGAATGGAAAATATTTAAATTAATTTCTCCTTAGCACCACAATCACATCTTGATTCTTATATCCTAGTAATTAATGGTTCTTCACCTCCACCACTGTCACTACCACTAGTAGTTGGACACTCTTAGGATCTTCTTATCTATCCCAGAGATCAATTTTAGTTGGTTTATGTACACTAGACTCTCAGTTTTCAAGGCTTACATACACAACAAGAAATCTAGTCCAACTGGATATACTTTGTGATCTTGATTCTACATGCACCAAGAGACAAACTACTGAACAGCCCATTCCAAGCCAAGTCGTATGGTTTCTGACCATCCATTCACTCATTCAGCAAATATTTATTTAGTGAGCTTCTACTGAGGGTCAAGCACTGAACTACACATTGTAAACACTTAGATACAAAGAGCACCCATTGCATTCAGAGATGTCCCTGGTGAATTCACAATTACAAATCCCCAAGGTAAATGCTATGTTAAAAGATGCTGGAGGATGAGAGGGCTCCAGGGAAGATTCCCAAGGAAACTTCACAGAAAAGGTCATGCTGAAATAAGTTTTCAAAGATGAGTAACTGGCCAAATAATAGAGAAGGGAATTCCAAGCAGCAGGAACCACAGATGCTACAGCATGAAAGCATGGGCCTGAAGGTGCTTTTAGAAAACTCCAGGCTTTAGATGCAGTTGGAGCCTTGGTGTACACAGGGGTAAAGAGAGAAATGAAGCTGGACTAAAAGACAGGCCCTGATGGTCAACAGCCTCTTACGCCATGTCTAGATTTTTACGCTAAAATTGATCGAGAGCCACTTTAGACATTTCAGCGAGTGGCTTCATCAGATTGGTGTTTCAGAAAAATCATTCTGGCCAAAGTGTAAATGACTCAGGGGAGCCAGAGGGTTACTACAGTAATTCAGGTGAGATAGGGAATACTAAAAAATGAATCTGTTGAGGAGAGAATATGATGAGGTCAGTGTTGGGGTAACCTGGGATAGCTGCTAGAAAATTGACTAGAGCACACTTCTTGGTTTATATGGTATACAGTTTACCCTTGCAGCCCTCAAAACAGCATGCATTTCAGTCTGGGCCACACACTCTCACTGCACGGTCTGCAGACGTAGTAAACTAGTCAACAGCACTCACTGTAAGCTGCTGCTAACTCTAGACTTGTAGTTTTGTAGTTTTGAAATTGTTGGCTATACTTGAATTTTCCACATTGCAAAATTTGCTTTTTGAATTTTACTCATTTTGATTTAGCCTTGAATCACAGCAAAACAAAACAAAAACAAACAAACAAACAAAAAACCAACTGTGTTCTAGTTGTCTTGCTTACTGGGAAATCTGGTGGAAGAAAGAAAAAAAGCCAGAGAAATCCTTCCCCTTGACTATGTTTATTGGCCAGCGCTCCACAGGGCATACCAAGAAGGTAAGAACAGGAGGAGTGGGTGTCAATCTTCTCTTCTAGGGGTGCCCAAGAGTGGAGGACTGTGGTCCTTGGTGTTTTGGTTCAGTCTGTTAACATATAGAAAATTAATAGGAAGCCACACAGCTTTGAAAAGTATGTTACAAAGTCCTTTGCTATAATTTCTTATAGGAAAATTATTTTGATAAGTGAATTTTTGGATTATTCATGTTTCTCTAATAATTATTCCATTTCATATGTCAAGGAGTTACTATACATGTGTGTGTCTGGAAATAAGGGAAAAGATCTAAGCTAGAGATATTCAATTACAACTCAATTTAAAAAAAAAAGTAACGGACTTTTTTTCTTATTTTATTTTTTACTTTAAGTTCTAGGGTACATGTGCACAACATGCAGGTTTGTTACATATGTATACATGTGCCATGTTGGTTTGCTGCACCCATTAACTCATCATTTACATTAGGTATTTCTCCTAATGCTATCCCTCTCCCCTCCCCCCTCCCCCCACCTCAAGACAGGCCCCGGTGTGTGATGTTCCCCACCCTGTGTCCAAGTTTTCTCATGGTTCAATTCCCACCTATGAGTGAGAACATGCGGTGTTTGGTTTTCTGTCCTTGTGATAGTTTGCTCAGGATGATGGTTTCTAGCTTCATGCATGTCCCTACAAAGGACATGAACTCACAGTAAAGGACATTTTTTATCCCATACTCTTTTTGCATGTGAAAGAAGAATTGTCTCTAACTCTATCTTAAAGGTGAACGACCAAAATAAATATATGGATGTGAGTATCAAATATTCCACATAATACGCTTTAATAACTAAACAAGTATTTGGTTTTTTTTTTAATTTAGTGATCAAAAGCCAGACTCAGTCTGACACATTTTCTGATGTGAACGGATATAAAAAGTTCAGCAATTCATACACTTTATAAATTTCATTATGTTTAAAATATGATTAACTCCAAAACTTTGATCTCCAACCAAAAGAAAATACTTCATGGAATCTTGAATTAACAGGCAACATTAAAGTGATAAGATTTTATAAGTCTAAGATTCTATTCAGAATAGTAAAAAATAAACTAATGAAACTATGTGAACTACTAGCTCATTAAAATTTTTAACTTATAAACATGTAGTATGCAAAAATTAAAGGTTATTTTTGATGATTTCAATTGGTACACTAAGAAAATGCTGAGTTATTGAGTATTATTCTATGTTCATAAAACCCCAAAGTGTAAATACATTTTATATCTTCATAAAAACACCTTATATAAAAGACCAATATGAAGTAACACAAGAAATC
Source organism: Homo sapiens (assembly GCF_000001405.40). NCBI lineage: Eukaryota > Metazoa > Chordata > Mammalia > Primates > Hominidae > Homo > Homo sapiens. Next base: position 88,962,650 of record NC_000005.10, on the reverse strand, counting down.
AGCACATTTTCTACCTCTTGATAGCAGTGACTAGAAATAGAATTCTTGAAAAAAAATAAATAAAATAAAACTAGCTTCTTAGTTAGCAACTTTGGAGTTTTCCGGTATGTTATGTGGTTGGACTACTGCTGGAGTGTCTGGGTTGGGTTGACCACCCATCTAGCGCTCAATCCACATGCCCAGTTTTGTGGGTGTCTTTCTGCTCTTATGTTTTTAAAGTCATATTTGATTTTTCACTGACCTCCTGTTATGATGACCTTTGAAGCAAAAACATTACTATTCTCCCCATGAGCTATGTGTGATGTTGTAAATGTGATTTAAGTATTGGGCAGAGGGTTAAAAAAAAAAATCCATGTAGGAAACCAAACAAATTTTGGGGAAAATGCAAAAATTTAAACCTCTGAGAATTTCCCAGGAGCCACACACTATTTCCACAGTTTGAAAAGAATGTAGTAAGAAGTTTTACAAAATGGAGACTATTGAAAATGAGTAACAGAAAGAAAAGGGAAATGTAATTCATTTGTTGAACAAAATAAAAGACAGTGTTTTGAAAACTACATTTAATAATGCCTAGACGTACTCCAAGTGGTACCACATGGCTTCTTAGGGCAACTAGGGTTTGGTCTCGCCTTAATGATGACATGTGGAATATTAAAGTCAGGAAAAGGCTCAGAAGCCATGTAGGACTTCTTTGTTGTTGCTGTTGTTGTTGTTTGAGACAGTCTCACTCTGTCATCCAGGCTGGAGTGCAGTGGTGCGATCTTGGCTCACTACAACCTCTGCCTCCCGGGTTCAAGCAATTCTCTTGCCTCAACCTCCTGAGTAGCTAGGATTACCAGTGTGAGCCACCACACCTGGCTAATTTTTCTATTTTTGTAGAGAGGGGGTTTCACCTGTTGGCCAGGGCTGGTCTCGAACTCCTGACCTCAAGTGATCTACCCACCTCGGCTTCCCAAAGTGCTAGGATTACAGGCATGAGCCACTGCTCCCAGCCAACCAAGTAGGATTTCTGATCTACTATCACCACATCCAACTTCAACCCAAGTAGTGCTGGGTATTTTACAGGTGGCCTCTGTTTGAACAAAGTGTTTCATTGCTTTAAGAAAAATTTGAAAATCATTAATTCAGTCTGGAATTCAGAAAGATAAATTCACTGCAAGTAACAATGCAGCAGATTTGAGAGTGGAACCTCCTTCGCCTGACTACTGGTCCAGGTTTTATTTCTCTACCTCATGGTAGCTCAAATGAATTCAGCCAACAAATATGGAAGAAACTGCCACAATCTAGCACAGTTAGGAAATAAGCCTAACTTTTCTCTTAGACACTACATTCTTTTGACCACTTAGAGTTTTGTTTTTATTTAAAACTCTGAGCCACATTTCTATTTTTTGTCTTTTTGTTTGTTTTTGTTTTGCTTGTTTTTTGCTTTTTCTCTCTTTTTTTTTTTTTCCTTTTTTTTGAGACAAGGTTTTACTCTTTTGCACAGGCTGGAGTACAGCACTACAATCATAGTTCATCATAGCCTCAAACACCCGAGCTCAAAGTAACCTCTTGCCTCAATGCCCCAAGTACCTGGGACTACAGGCACACACCACAGTATCCAGCTAATTTTTAATTTTTTTGTAGAGACAGGGTCTCACTCACTGTGTTGCCCAGGCTGGTCTCAAAATCCTGTGCTTGAGTGATCCTTCCAACTTGGGCTCTCTAAATATTAAGATTACAGGTGTGAGCCACCATGTCTGGCCCAGATTGCTATTTTTTATTTTGAGACTTAAAGCGGAGATGATTAGTTGCCAACATGATATCCTTCTTCTTTCTTCTTTATGAACAATTTACTCTTCCTTCTTTATGAACAGAACCCGATGTAGCTAAGGGTTGCAGTATAATTAGCTAAAGACTGTATTTCCCAGCCTCCCTTAAAGGTAGGGAGCCTATGACTAAGTTCTACCAATAAATGTAAGCAGAAGCTGTTGAGTGAGACTCATTCAGCTGGCACATTTATGTGCCCTTTTCCCCTCCCTTTTCTTTCTGCCTAAAATGGTCACATTTTGTACAGAACTTCCTTCGTCACAACTGTGGAGCAGAAATGTCGAAGGATCCTAAGGCACATTGAAGACAAGGAATAACACACCAGCGCTGGAACTTTAGGCTTTCCTTGGTTGGTTGCTGTTAATCAAATTCCTACTTGGTACACTTTGGGGCAAAGCCATATCGTGAAAATTCTTCAATTACTACCATAGTTTAAAAGTAGCATAGTAACGATAGCCTAAATGTGTAAAGTCATTTCAAAGGAAATTTATCATTCACTAGTAGTAACATAAGTTTGAATCTTCTATTACTGTTTTTAAAAGGATCTCAAATTCTGAATGTGACAGTAGGACCATAGTTTGAAATGTGGAAAAAAGGCTTTCCTGGGAAATTCCTCTGAAAACAAATCTTTGTGCAGTAAAACTGATTTTAATCAGAGTACATAAAGGGAATAGAACTGTCCAAGGGCAAGGACCAAACCTGAATCCCCCAGCATGCAGCATGGGATCTGACCACATATACTTTCCCTAATATTTATTTTTTAGAAAATATATGCTAGTGAACCCTACCTAGGGCAGTGAGGACAGATGCTGAATCAGTGGAATCTTTCTCAGCTCTTTGGTATAGTTTGAAACCCCTGCTCCTATTGACTTCCCTCTGACAGCCAAACATAATCTCAGGAGAACTGGCTCCAAAAAGCCATAAGGAGGTTTAGTAATACTAGAAAGCTCTCAACAACTCGTTTTAATGTATGGTACAATTCAAAGTACAAGGTTTTGTCTTTTGGGAGGGTGTAAGAATTCAATTATAAGGATCAAATAAGAGCAGTTAAATAAACAGAACAGGCTCAATAAAATCATTTGTGCAAGTCTCTGGTCACTCAGGCTTGGTTTCCTAGAACACTGTAAAAGGTCCAGGTTTTTAAAGTAATAGGTTAATCTAGGTTTAAGAAAGGAACAACAGTGGAAAAAGCACTGATGTAAAGTGCAGTAGGAAATCCACTATTGGAGAAAGCATATTTCCTAGAGCAGAGAGGAGACAAACTAAAACATTCCAAATGATATTCTTTAGGTAACATATTAAATTTCTTCTTTACCACATCAACTATAATTCAGTCATTTTAGTTGAAGATATTTCTAAATGAGAGCTCTCTGGTAATCCCCCCCAGCCTTTTTAATGAATGCTCGTTTCCCATTCATCATATTTTAAATGATTCTATAAATAATGTTATGTTAAAAAACAGTTTTCTCTTCATAGTAGAGTACTAAATGAGGGTCCTATATAAAAGATCCTACAGAGTGAAATATTGGGAAATAACCAAATAATTGATATAGTCATTTTAATTGCTACCTTGTTATCTGTGACCTAGTTTGCTTAGCCGTTTTTATGGAGCCTGATTCTCTGATATACTGGAGAATGTTAGATTCAGAATGGATGTAAGAATATTTTGATTTCTCTTTCAGTTCTATTCGGTTGATAGTATTTCTGTAAAAACAAATCAGGCTAGTAAAACTCATTTTTAGTATTTTTCTAAACAGCAAGTTTATATTAAATTAGATTTAATAAAGAAGAAGAACTTTTTTCTATAATTATGATTCCCTACAGAGTATATATATCAAGGCAAACAAGAGGGAAAGTAATCTTATATTTTCTTGGAACACTATTGCACCCAATCAAATAAAATGAACTTGAAGCCTACTCTTTTTTTTTTTTTTTTTTTAACAAACTAAAAGCAAGTGTGAGAACTTGTGGAGCCAGCATCAGGTTCCTTAGTTTTCTACTTTGTCTAGCAGATCTTCAGTCTTCAAACTCTTCTTTACAAACCTCATCTTTACAAGTCATCCCACCTAACCGATGCACAAAAAGGCATTCATTTACGATTACAAATGTTCTCGATGGCATAGACTCCATTATCAGAACATGTAAAGGTCTAGATGAAAACGGTATAGAGTTGTGAAATAACTGTCATTTGAAGGTATGTAGAAAGGCTTCTTCATGAGTAACAATGAGAATAATAAATAGATGGCAAAGTAAGACAAAGACATATGACAGGGTGTTGTAAGACACATGCACAGGCACACTAAGATGCACATACATGACCATGGCATGACTACGGTGTAAGGATTCTCTATAGTCTGCTAGATCAACCCCCTTACTCGACAGTTACTTCTTAATGATGACAGCTTATCTCTCCAGTGAGGATTAATATAGCCTGAGGTGTGGACTTGTTCAACATTTTATTTCTTTGTGCCAAGGAGTCCATGTGTGCACCATGCATAAAAATGTATGAGATTATAATGATAAAATGAGAAATTGAGCTAGACCATCGGAGAGCTATAGCAAACATCACAGACAAAGGGCATCATAAGAAACAAGCCATATAAAACTGTAATGTTGTTCTTTGGGGGTAATTCCGAGTAACTCGTTTGTATATTGTTCACTTTTGTTTCTTTGGCTTGGCTGCTAAGAAAATGAGAGTCATCTTTGTCATTAAATTCACATCCAGCCTCATGGTGTGTTTTCCTCTCTGGTCTTCATTTTGGCTAAGTAACATCTTTTTAATAAATTTAAGTCATTTTTACTTACTTTATTGTATTTCTTTTGAGAACCATTTTTACACATTTTGATATAACACTAGCAGGAGAATAAAGAAAAGAAAGCAGGGGATGAGGTGGAAAGAGTGTGAGCCTGTATTCTGAGCTTTGGTGACCAGTTAGACCTAGATTAGGATCCCACTATCTTCTGGATTTTTTACTTTGGGCCTACATTTATTTAATTTATGCAATTAAATTATTTATTTATCTAATTTATTTAACTTCTCTGAGCCTCAGATTCATCTAAAATGGAGGGATATTAGAACCAATCTCAATGGAGAAAATATGGTAAGAGATCAGCTAATCTTTCTTTCTTCCTTCCTGATATTCCCATCAATATATATTGTGAATGTGCATGTGTGTGTAAATATGTGTGTTATACATGAAACTGTGCATATATATAGATATACATATATTATATATAGATTATATGTACATACATACATACACACAACCTCTCCCTGCTCTCCACCCACAAAGTTCTGGCATCAAAGTCTTATTCAAAAAGTCTTCACTCACCAATTTCCAAAGAACTTCAAGGTAAGCAAAAACTAATCTATTCTTCACTACAAATGCTGTTTTGTTTTTTGTTAAAATTGTGATCTATGGAAGATATTGGAAATTAGTCTGTGAAATGAGCCATTTTATGAAAGCAGAGTTTCAGTAATCTCTATGTGTTAAATAGGAGGCTAAAAGAAATTCCTCCCTTTGGGTCCCCCACTCATCTCTGTGATTTACTCTGCCTGTCTGCTGCAACAATCATCGCCACGGTACACAGTGCTCACCACTGACCTATTGCAGACAGTTAATCAACAGCAGAGAGAGTAGCTTTCACAGTACAAGTAGTTACTTGTTCTCAACTTTTTAAAGTTCATAATTCAGTCTTACTGTCATTTCTTTCCTCTTGCCGGTGCTTTATGAAAGGTAAAGCTGAACAGAAAGAAAACCAGAGTCATTAACTGTTTGAAAGTTTAATGTGCTACCAAACCAGAATTAGATGTGATAATGAAATTTCCACAGTTGAAAGCAGACTTTGCTAACTGATGTATGTAGTGAGAAGGTGGTCACATAACCAATGAAAATAAAAACCGTGTTCATTTTTTATATTTCTCATTCATTTTTTTGTTTAAACTGGCCAAATGCCAAATTAGACTTCAGTTGGGATACTTTAAAAAGTGGATTTAGTAAAATTACACTTGTTTTGCTTAAGAAATATACATTCAATATTGACAGTAGAGATGTTGATCAAGTAACTTTATATCTAAAGACGTTCCAGAACAATGGTTTAGGATTTATGGAATAACTTTGCTAGCCTGTATTCAGCCATCGTGACTGGTGAGAAGAGCCATCCAAGTCACCAGAATCCTTTCCATGGAGCCACAGGATGGCTCACCCTACTCATGCCACTCCCCAGCCTGGTATTCAAGGCATGTCTAAATAGGATTCTGACTTACCCTTTCTAACTACTTCAATTTCTGCCTTTTGTGGTCAATATAATCAACATGGGTCATTTGTTCCCCAAATACAGCACATTCTTGTCTACCCCTTTGCCATTGCACATGCTTTTCTCTCCTCCTAACATTCTCAGCCATGGGGTCTCTTTGCCTCCCCTCGTCCAGGCATCCCCACCCACTGTGTCCCTCTTCCCAACACTTCCTCTCAGGGACCTCTTACTTACCTCCATCTTTTGAAATTATATCCATTTAAAGTTCAGTTAAACTGCCCTTTTTTCAAGAAAGTATTCCTTTTTGTCCACCCCAAACTAAACTGATCTCTTTCTCTTCTCCATCCAGAATCACTTACTTTAACTCTTGTATATCACTTTCATAGTCTTTGGCATGCAGTAGGAGTTCATTTGCACTATGATAAGTGAATCAATGACTTATAGGCTATATTGCATTTTAATTTACCCCATAATCTTCTCCTCCTCCTTAGCTTATAACTTCCTAATGGTAAAGATGGGGTTAGTGGGAGGAGGTACTTATTAATATTTACAACCTTTACATTATCTAATAGTTTAATTGTACATAATCAAGACTTGATAAATATGTCTTGAATTGTATGATTAAACTGGGTCGGTCGGCTGGGCTTGGTTAGAAGCACCTCAGGATCGTGCCTGGATTTATCAGAAGCAGTGCTAGTGATGCAAAAGGTAATTTTCTTTGCTGAATCATAGCTGAATTTATATGACATTAAGCTTTGGAAGGTACCATTTTTCAAATTACATATAAAAACAATAACCTTTCTGTGTGGAATGTTTTAAGTTCTCCTGGCTCCTTTCAGGCATGGGGACATCTCTGTAAGGTGTTGACCTAAATTTCTTCTGACCTAATTTCCTTGTTGCAAAAGGAATTCGGTGCAGCCAGCCCCCACTGCGGAAAGGTTTTGTTCTACATCACTGTCACATTTCAATGACAAATGGAATGAACTTTGTTAGTCCTTTTGAGATTTCAGAATAGCTCACGATATTCCCCTCTAATATCTAAGAGGATTTCAGTGATTTGTCCTGCCGGCTACAGAGTATAAAAGGGCCTCCCTCTGTCCCATGCATTCCCCCTGAGCAGCTGGGCATACCACATGGAAGCACCAGACACTACTTGCAAACATTTTTTACTGCATAGTAGCTGAAGAGAAGGTTGCTGATGAAATAAAGAAGAATGAAAGTGGCAAAAATGATGCACTGGGCTCTTGATTCAAGCAAGAGAAATGTTTCTCGGCACTAACACACTCAACTTTGGTTCTAGTTCTAAGTATTTTGAAATGAAACAAACCTCTACTCCTATGATCTGAAAAAATAATTTTCCTCCTAATGATACAGAGCAACAAAAAAGCCTGTTTTGCCCACTATATTGTGAGCATGTGTGTATAGTTGTAAGTATATGTGTTTGAGAAAGAAGAGGCTAATAAAAAGAAGAGGATTTAGTTCAAATAATTCAATAGCTATAAAAGTCGTAAGACAATAGACAGGAATCTAAAAATTATTTCCTTTCCATTTCTTAAGAAAAGACAAAACAGTCTTCTACAGAGAATAGCTTTGGTGCATTACTTTCTAGAAGAAGAGGGGTTCCCTACTAGATGGGTCCCAGGGCTTCCTTCTGTTGCTGTTATTAACCAATGACCACTATCTGAATCAGGTATTCTACAAGCAGTTTCAATGTGAGATCAACTGCTTTTCAGATTCAGAATTTTAATAATCATTTGAGCAATATGCTGTACCTTAAAATGCTTAAGATTACTGGAATTCTCTCATGTTTTATCATACAAAATGTTACTCCATTATTTCCATTTGGAAGTAAGTCTCTTGGAAGGTCTTAAGGCACCACACCCTGCCAGTTGGTGATGTGGTCAGCAAAGTCGAGAGGAGGTCAAAGAAAGCAGCTGTCCCAGCAATTTAGCATGAACCTAAATGGTAGCATAAAGGAGAGTAAGAGGAGAGAAAACGCTGACAAAAGAGAGCAAAACGGTCTGTTTCAAAAGAGTAAATAAAGATATAAGAAGATAGGCAATAGATAATTAAAAAGTACACAGTGAAAAAAGTTATTTCTAACAACAACAAAAAAAGAAGAAAAATAATCTGAAGAGGAAAGGGAATTTTAATCACCTTCCCCCAACCAAATGCTGAACATCTCTTGGGAAACTCCCCCAAAAGTCAAAAATCACAAGCAGAGTGAAAGATGCACCTAGATAAATAGGTTATATAAAAAGAAAGCAAGTCAAATTAGAGTCCTCAGCCAGCATATAGTCACTAAGCAATTACTAAGGACAGACACTGCCCGTATGCCAAGATAAATGATTACCCAAATGGGCAAATCCACTACTAATGTATTATTGCACCAAGATTGTGTTGTCCAAAGGCCAGAAGAACTGATTATTTAGAATTGCATTTCTTATAGCCCAGTGTGCAGTATTAACCCAAGTGCAGATAGATGACAGCAGACAGCACAGAGGAGGGAGGGAGGGAGAGACAGAGAGAGAGAGAGAGAGAGAGAGAGAGAGAGAGAGAGAGAGAGAGAGAGAGGACGTATATAAATGATGGGACTATAGTATTTGATTGGCTGGCTTGTGAGCAGAGGGGTTGATATATTACCTGGATGAAACAGAATACGTTTTCTCTTGAGAGCACTTGCCGGCATCCCTAAATAGATCATCTACTGAAGGACAAAGAAAAAATATATTTTGTGAAATCAAAGAAAATTATTATTTCCAGGAAGTTAGTTTTGGTGAAGGAATTTATTGTCATATTTCTGTGAGTTGCACAGGATCACAAGGATTTCTGAATGTGAAGCAAAATTTGAAAAGTTAAATGATCCAGTAAGACGTGGTCTCAGCAGATGCCATTACAAAATGGCCTAGGACAAGCTGTATATAAAGTAGAGACCTTGCCTGGGTGTTCTGCATCTCTTCCATTATCTTCTCCTTCTGAGTAAGGACTTGGCATGACCCCTCCACTTTGATTCGTATATGATGCAGTAAAGCTTTTAATAACCAAGTAAATTGGTGACCTGAAAATGCATGTCAACACATATGTAAATTCTGTGGTGAACTTTAAAGTCACTGCCTCTCATGCGGACTAACTTTCCATGATTGTGTAGTACAGGATCTATTCCAGGAGCAAAGGAGACCCAGCTGTTGGGTTCTATTTACTTAGCATGGTGCTCTGGCACCATGACTCTCAGATCCTGCTGCAACACACACCTGCTGCTGCGGGAGGATCTTCCCTCTGTCAGACACATGGAAAGGAGAACAACTTCTAAAACCCATTTTTACATTACCAAGAACAAAGATGACAATGTAACGCAAAAGCCAGGTCAAATTTAGCTACTCATAAAATTGGTTGTGCCTGCCTCTGCTCAGGGGAAAGCCTTGCTGAATCTCCACTTTCAGAAGCTGCACTAGATTGAACAATCAGACTGAAAAACCCATCCTCCCACAAGGATTTGTGAAGTGTTGAGCGTCTAGCATATGGGTGTTCTGAATAAAAGGATTTTGCCAGGAGTTTTGAGATCAGAGATCCATGATTAATTTTGACTACTTGGATCAATAAAGATTGTTTTCCTTTGAAACAGAGCACCTATAAAATTATGTAATTTGAGGTATAGGAAAATCATTGCCGAATGAGCAGAGTACTTTGCTGCCCACAGAATCCATTTGGTAATAATTTCAGCATGAAGAGTAAGACCATTATTTTGATAGAACAAACACATTTAAAAGTCATGAAAGATTATATCAGTTAAAAATTATTTGCATAAAATACGTTTCAGCACAAACTCACTCAGGTGTAGTACCATTCACACTAGAAATGCAATTCAGTGTGAGCTGTTTCCTAAAGGAAAAGTACACGTGAGAATTTAGATTATTTTGTCTAGCACAGCTGCTGCTTGTACTGCAAAAGCAGAGATGCAGCTGATGACAAGGTAGAATGGAACTTGACACCTCCACTGGCATCCAGCCAAGAATACAGAATGTTTTAGCCAATCTATGGCATGTGATCCATTTCTTAATTGTTGATAACATATAATTAGGACAATCTAAGCCTAGTTTAATGAATGCAATAAGTTAAACTGCAGTGCTTGACTATACTTGGATAGACTTTGTTAGTCTTGGAGCACGGAACTGCAGAGTAACATTTTATAAACAGTACAAAATGGAATCTTCCCTTTACAAACTATCAGTCTAGAATTATGGCCGACATCCTAACCCACAGTATAAATTCTATGCGCTGTATAAATGTCAACTGATATTCATGGCCAATGTGCCCAAAATAAATTTTCCCCTTGAAGATTTTAAAGGTAAGATTTATGTGAAGAAATTGGGCACATATTTAAAAATGACAGACTACACGTTCTGCTAATCAGTTATCAACCTGATTTATTTTGACAGACTTCTTTTTAAGATGATCAGAGCTCAGTCTAGTGTACTACATAGTTTTTTTAAAGGCAATGATTTTCTTGAAAATAATGAATTATTAACTTTTTATTAAAATAGATTCATTGCATTCATCTTTCCACACCCATATTACTTACCTGTAGGTTTTGTAAAAATATTGTCATTGTAGAGCATGAAAAGACCTTTACTAGGGCCATAAATAAATTCAGCTGAATTTTTCATATCTCTGGTAAGAGATTTATTTTTTCCAAAGGCAAGAAAAATCCTACCTAGGTATAAAAATAATACAAGAAATAAAAAAGTTTTGAGAAAATGCACTTTAGATTTTTGTCTGAAAAAAGAATTTTTAAGGGAAGCTCTATTTATCCACAGCATGCATGCTTTCTCTGATTTTCTTTTTTTTTTTTCGGCCTTTAAATTTGTTCCAATGTTATCAGAATTGATTTTTAGTCTCAGTCATCCCAGAGGAACTGTCTTGAGTGAAGCTCTTATCGGGGAACTGTAATGAAGAATCAGCTCTCAAAGCTGTTACTATGGTGCTCACATATCTGAAGAAATTTTTAGTGGAAATAAAATTCCAAAGCACTAAATTTAGAGGTATTTCGTTTCCTAGTAAGAGGTATAAAAATAGTACTACTAGATACAATTTAAATTCCAAGGGGGAGATATTTATTTCTGTACGATACTCAACCATGTACATTCTAGAAAGCCAGTTTCTTTCCACATGCCTTGAGACAAATTAAAAACCATGTTAACTGATTCCCTCTTAGCCCCCCATCCCACCAAAGAATAATAGTTTTAAAAAAGGAGTTCTTTTCCATTTCCACATTTTCATTTTTGTGTTGCTTTTAAGAAGAAACTTTACAAAGTGAAGGCATAACTATCTGAAAAATGTATTCTTTTTCATATATTTAAGAAAAAAATTTTGACAATGATGTATTATAGTTTTAGATGCTAAATTGTATATTATCTCCAGAGGGCAAAGGAGAGTTAAAGAACATCACTGGTGTCCTGGTATAGTTACTAGAAAGATCAGGTTTAAGCCATATTTTACATTAAAAGCAATAATTACTGTGGTGTGCATAAGTCAGCAAAATTCCCTTTTCCAAAAATGAAAATTTCCAGAAATCATGACAAAGTATAGTCCTGAAATTAAAATATTTCTAAGTATCATATCATTTCATATCGTATGTAAATATAATTTTAATAAGCCTCTGCCCACTATACAAATATGTACCAAATTCCTCAAGTCAAATTACACTTCAGAAGTGTTGCCTAAATTACTACTTGAAGAAGAAATTTTTAAATCATCTTAAAAATTTCACTTTTGCCATTAAGCCACCAGAAACAACAGAAAAAAAACCCTGTAATAATATTACATGGATGAGAATATTATACTACATCTGCACTTCTAGGTTCATAAGAAAGAAGAGAGGAACTGGTATCTCTCAAGAAACGAAACTAAAGAAGTTACAGATGTATACTTTTGTATGAGTGATAAATACTCATATAATGATTGAAGGGGGGAAATAAAGAGTACAGCTACAAGCATTCCATCCATTATGTATAATTTTTATTGATATAAATATATATTTGAATTTTAAGACTTTTAAACATTAAGATTTGACAAGTGCAGTAAAGAACAAGCTTCTCTATTTATGCTGTTCCATGCATACAGGAGAGAAGAGTTCATGTCATAATTGGCTTTGGTTTTATCTGTTCTTACAAAGTCAAACTGTCCTTAAATGAAATTATTCGCAAAAGCAATCCACAGCGCCATCCTCTACATTAAAATGCAAACCTCATGTTAACATGAATAAATGTGCCCATAATTTCGGAGAATATTTTAGGAGTTGTGGCCATTATATGTGTTTTATTTGTAATGTAAACTTGGAATTTGGGAGAAATTTTACCTTGTAATTAGAATAGAATACCAAGACTAAGATATATAATGCAATGCAACAGTGGATAATTCACTATTCTTTTACAAATATTTAATTCAATACTTCTGATTTTCAGTCTGTACCACGAAGGAAATATTTCTTCAAGTAAAGTAAATGCAGAACCTTCATTAAAGAATTCACATGATTTTCTAGGTATACTTTTCATGTTACTGTAACTTAATTTTCACCTCTATCTGACCAGGCCCACTACAGATGGTGAAATAGAATGAGAAAAAATAAAGTAAAACAGAAGTGAATTTATTTTGCTATCACATAAAACAAAACTCTACACTGTAGCATTCAAAAAATAAAAATTATTAAAGCTTTTTCTTCTGACAAAACACTTAGAAAACAATCTCTAAAACTGGCAGTTTAAAAACTCCTCAGGAACATTACACTGTAAAAGTCACCTTTTTTGTTAATTCGTTATTTGTTGATAAAAGAAGTGTTTGCCTGTTTTTGTCACTATGGCTGTAATTATTTCTCTTTTTTATAGGCTGTATACTAAATATAATCTACTAAGTTCTTATCAACCTTTTGCTTACAATAAAACTAGCTCTCCACCTTTTCTACTTGCTAGACAAAATTGATTAGAAAGTGATTGTCATGTTAATTTTACCAGAAGCTAGAAAGTGCAAACCGCACATTCAGCTACATAGATTTCTGGACTTTTAACTGTGTTTATGTAACTGTACCAGGAACAGTATTTTGCAAATAATAACCAGTGTATTTCATGACATTCCCTAAATCACATTTCTTTTTGGTCTAATCTTCAAGGCCAAGCCAGAAAACTTACTGCTTTAGGTCAGGAAAGAATAAGAATTTAGCTTGAAAGCAAGGCTTTGGGGAGAGTAAATGGATTTGCTAAATTCTTTCAGTACCTACTTAACATTTCAAAACTAAGCTAGAGGACTCAATCAGAATTCTCATTATAAAGAGAGGATGCCATCCACCTATGAACTCTCTAGGTCATGAGGCTTGCTGCTGTATATACAAGGGCTTAGTATAAAGTTAAAGGAGAACTAAGCCCATCCCTTCTGTTTCTGGGAGCTGAGAATGGTAGAGGATGGAAAGCAATCTGAGACTGCATTTCAATTTCCCTTTCTGGCTTTCTCTTTTCTTAGTAGTTGTGTGCTGGGAAGCTCAAGGGAAAAGCAGTCCCAAATTCCATACCTGACTCTAGAATGCAACCTTCTGGAGCTGCCCCTGCTGAGAACTCATCTCTTAACCTTGAGGAATGGCTTTCTAGACTCCTCTGAGTTTCAATGTGGCCTGGATAGAAACTAGGAATTTCTACAAAACCCTGCATCTAAGCCCCAGGGGAAATGACGAGGCAGCTGAGGTGAGAACTGGCAGGCAAGGTGCTTCCATGGCAGAGGCTCAGTTTGGGCTTTCCACCAGGGAGCCACTTGAGAATAAAGCAGAGACAGATGTTCTGTAGCATCAACCAAAGCCAAGGGGAGGGAGAGTTGATCAACTTAACATAAAAGGTGCCTAGATCAGCTATGAGTGCCAGCAAGACAATAGAGAAGGACAGCACCCCAAAAGCCAGAGGATCAACAGGTCTCTGCACCAAAGAATACCAGCTCTTCCCTACCACTCCTAGACTGTGAAAGCACCCAGACACCAACTTGAAGGGGTGCCTGGAAGTGGACAGAAGGCTGAGAAATCTGGGAGACTAGGCATGTTTTCCAAAAGAGACAGCATTACCTAAAGGGATGGTTTTAATTATTGGATTGGACTGAATTTTAAAATGCATAGGACTCTATATTTATAAGAGAACCAGAATAGTTATAGACAAAATAATGGAGCTATTTTCCAGGCACATCCAAGTTGCTATATGAGTGAAGTTAATGTTACATAACCAACACAAAGAAGAAACTTTCTGCAGTAAAAATAATTCCTTCTCCAAACACATATTCTTATACACATGCAAGATCACAACATGATATCTGATGAGGAAAGAGGAGTAATTGTTTTTTACCTGAATTATCCATACTGGGCGACTTCATTAATTAAGGGAGCCAAATAGCTGCTTGGGTTTCCTTTTGGAGTTTGTCATGTCTGTATAAGTCAGAATTACCAGTTCAAAAAACAACAACAACAAAAACCCTGCTCTTTTAAAATTTACTCATCTGCAAAGAGGAATACTAATATCTCAAATGGTTATTTGGGGAATTAAATAAGACTATTCATGTAAAGTTAAGCGCTTTCTGTAAATTGGCTAGCACTATGTCTGGCACTTTTATCTCTGTCCCCTGCTCCACCCCATCTTCATACCTTTTCTGACATCAGTGAGGTTTGAATGTTCAGCATCAATGATATTCCACTTACCATCACCATCATTTCCAATCCCTGATCACTGAGTTTCCAAGTCTTCTTTGTTGTTCACCTGAAAAAGTTCTTAAGCTTATCCCCTGATCTCCTTTCTCACTGTCATGACCTTCAGTCCAGATCTTATTTCTTCTCTCTTTGGCACCTGTAAGTGCCTTCTCACCAACCGTCTCCAATCGATTCCTTCTTGTTTGCAAGCCACTGCTTGGCTCAGAGTTTGTCATTCCTTCTCCAACACCCTCTCTACTCTTTCCTTTCTCCTGTCTTTTTTCCCTCCCTTCATATCTTTCTTTTTCCTTTTTGTAATTTCCATAAAGAATATGAAGCTACTCAGAATGTTGAAATACGTAGATAGCATGAATCAGTTGAAAGTAAATGAGAATAAAGATGAATAAAACAAAGCAAAGAGATAGCTATTAGAAGAATCTAAAATAGAACTTTCCCCAGCTAAGGTCTGAATTCAACTCTGAGTTTTAAGGCAGTTCAAATGGAAAGGGAGGTATTGTTTTTCATGTTCATTAACTCAAAACTGTAAAACAATTAACTTTACACTTAACATCCGTGTTTCAAAAATTAGAAATTAGTTATGGAATAAAAAGTTTTTCTTAGGATGTGCTGAGAATTCTAATTATTTTTTAAGGTTCATGTATTAGTAATACTATAACATCTATAAATAAAAAATATTTCACAAATAATTTTCTTAGCATGATATTTAAGAAAATTAATGACTGATACACTGTAAAATCTATAAATGTAGATCTGAAAGTAACTCCTAATGAAGATCAATCTTCTGATTTCATTTGAAAAAGCAATAATAATAATGCCTGGCCTTTGGAGAATGCAGAAGTTATTGGTGTGGTTTTGCAAATATCTTGTTTGATCTTAATAAGAAAACTAGGTTTCTGAAAGGGTAGATGAATTGACCAGGATTACACATCTGGTAAACAGTAAGGTCGGAGCTTGAACACAGCTTCACCCAACTATTTTCACAGCCCAATCGGCGTCAATTGATTGATTGAGAGTGATTAATTGCAAGCAGCTGAAGTCCGTGTCACTGGAAGTATATATATATATATATAGAGAGAGAGAGAGAGAGATTGAGTCTCACACTGTCACCTGGGCTGGAGTGCAAACTGGAGGTATATTCTTCATTGCAGTCTCATTCAGGCCCATTTTGATATGTTATAGTGTCCTCATTCCCTTTTATCTACTACCCAAAGAGATAGTAGAAGTGATAAATGATAAAGAAGGAGAAGAGTGACTCATTGCATGTGTATAACATGTGTTTCAAAATTGGGCAGGTAAGATTTAAGCATATATTTCCAGGCCAGGCATGGTGGTTCACACCTGTAATCCTAGCACTTTTGGGGGGCCAAGGCAGGTGGATCGCTTGAGGCTAGGACTTCGAGACCAGCTGAGGAACATGACGAAACTGAGCCTGTAATAAAAATACAAAAATATGCCAGGCGTGGTGGCACGTGCCTATAATCACAGCCACTAAGGAGTCAGAGGCAAGAGAATCCTTTGAACTCAGGAGACACAGGTTGCAGTGAGCCGAGATGGTGCCACTGCAGTCCAGCCTGGGCAACACAGCAAGACTGTCTCAAAAAAACATATATATGTGTAGATACACACACACACACACACACACACACACACACACACAAATATATATTATATATAATATATTAAAATATATATATATATAAGTATATATATACATATTTCCAGAGGGCTCTGAGAAAGAAGGTCCCTTAGTAGTTACCATGTGTCTATAGGATATGAACAAAAAGAAACAGGTAATCCTTGTGCCAGCTGCTGGAAGTCATCTTGCGACTGTGAAGGAGGCCCTGGATGTCAGAGTGGAGAGACAGAAAACAACCATGTTTTCTTGACACAACAGAGCCACCTACACCACACCACCTTCCAGTTATGAGGCCCCTACATGCCCGTTAAGTCAGTTTGAATTGGGTTTTCTGCTACTTGCAACAAGCAGTATATGAACTGATATATGAGAGAAGAGTGGAGGTAAAAAGGAGGGTAGTTTACACTTTCTTACATATTTCAGATTTATGTGTAAGGTCATGAACAAGATATTGGCATTTATTAACATTTGAATGTGTATGAGAACCTTTTGGATGACACAAGTTTGACTTACAAGATGTGGACACTGATGTCTAAATGGTGCATCAGGGAAATGGCAAGTGCCTTCACAAGAGCTGAAGGAGGAAACAGAACAGTCCCCCTCGTTCCACACAACGCAGTATACCAGTGGATATCCCCTCTGGTTTATAGGTGACAGAAAGAGAAAATATTGAGCAAAAATTACACTAGAAGGGAATGAATAAGTGGAACATCCTCTGAATCGGTCTCCTCTACTCACGAAGGAAAGAGGAAGTATTCCACCCGCACACTGGGCATTCTGTTTCTGTTTTGTAGGCTGTACCCTATCCCTCTCCCCACTGGAAGGCGATGGGGGAAAAGACTTTACCAAAGCACAAGACAGAATGACCCAGAGTGCAGTTTTGGAAGACCGCCAGCTCCCTAGCATTAATGTGGTCCCACTTAATTCCTCTGGGGTGGACACATGTAGATGTTTAGTGACAGCAAGCTATCACAGCAGCTGGCATACAAGGAACTGAAGTGGAGTCACTGCAAGTAGGATGGACAGAAGAAATGCTCTAGAAAATGCTCAAGTGTAACTTCAAGCAACGTTGCATTGCTTTGGAATGCGGGAAACCACAGGAGTAAACAGGCCAAGCTGGCATGCAACAGGCACAAATAAAGCAGGACTCCTTTTTTCTTTTTTTTCCTGACCCAACAGAGAAGCCAGATCAAAGCTCTGGAGTGGTTGGCAATACTCTACAAAGTATTGATTCATTCTGTTAACAGCTGTTTATTGCATACCTACTATATATGTTGCACAATCTCCAATACCAGAGTATGACAATGAGGAAGACACAATTCCTTCCTTTGATGCACAGAAACCTAAAGCCACCAAGCTACGATGTGCAAAATATATATATAATTTCACTTTTTCCATAACATTTTATCTTCAATTTGAAGCTCCCATTCACATTGTAACAGAAATAAGGTCTGCTTCTATCCCCCTTTCTCCTAGATTGCCTCTAATTTCCAAGGAGCTTAAAAAGTGCCAGGGACTGTGAAGGGAAGGTGAGAATGAGCAGTCCAGTCTTCATGTCGTCATCCGTCCTCACTGCTCTACGGGGAAGCTGCCATCCCTTCTGCCCTGGTCTTGGTCCATGTTCTTCAGTGGAGAAGCAAGACTTCCCCAGGTCCTGCTCCATCTTAGAGACTGTTCCCTTCCTCCCTGGAAGTTCTCTGCTTCTTTATTATTCCAGGCATTGTCTGGGCTTTTTTGCAGACACCCACCAGCATCTAAGCCCTCTTCGTTCTTTCTCAACTTTCTTCTTCAGAGGCACAACAGAAATTGACCCGTTATGCTTTCAAATCTATTTTCTAAATTTGGACTTTAACTTTGAGTTACAAAACAAATACATCGATTCCTTTATTGTCTTTTGTTTTCCTTTGCTGTCTCCTCCCTAATGTATTCTGGTTTCCTGAATGCAGAGGCGGGTTAGAGGTTGTAAGAATATTAGGAGGACAGAAGCATTGGTTCATACCTCAAAAAACTTATTCCACTACAGTGGAGTTCTGTTCTCCTTTGGGAGGATGGGAAAATTTTCCTTGATGAGATAACATATAAGTGGGTCTTAGAAACGGATAGGTGTTTACCAAAAGAAGAAAGTAAAAGAGAATCAAAGGGATAAATACTTCACTTGTAAACAAAGTTAACCCAACACTCATTTTAAATCACAAAATAGTATCAGATTTAAGAACAACATGCAGATTTCATAGAAAATGAGGATTAAATATCATTACCTGAATAAAGTGTCTACCCTGAGTAGAAAAATGAACCATCTGCCACTATACTTTATGTGGTTAAATGTCTATTTAAAGTTAACATCCCGTCATTCACTTTAAAAAACAGAAAAGCTTTATTTAAGAAAAATGTAACTTAAAGTAAGGCCCCAAAGCAGAGGTCAGATACAAAATTAAGAATTTTTTCCCTTTTCTTTCTGTGGCAAAAGCGTATTTGACTAACGACTTCCATTAAAATAATGGAGCAATGTAATATTTCTTTGTGTATGAAAAGAAATCTTTAACAACATTGACACTTTTGGATTAGAAGTTTTTAGATGCATTTTGCATAACTAATTTGACCAACTATATTGGCAAAGAAATGTGGAAACACAATAGGCAAAAGCAGGCTTTTAAAACCACCCATCAATGTTCAATTTCCTACCAGCAGTAATACAAATGTTATCAACACATGTGTAACCTCCCTTTACTACAGTGAGAGTTGTTTGGGTGTCCATGCACGGGAGAAAAGAATCCCAAGAACATACATCCCTCTTCCCAATTTACATTTTCAGTATCCTGAATTTAAGCTTGTTCAATGAATCTGACAGGGAGTGCTACTGAAGTCTCAACTCCAAATAAATAGTTTAAAATAAAAAGTTGTATAAATATTAGTCTGTGCCAATGGTGCGGTTTGAGAGGGAGTGCTATAAACACAAAGTAAATTAAATGGGATCTACTTTTGTGGGGTAAAAGCCTACTTAGACTGGTTATTATAGAGAAAATTTTGTTGTGTGGTGCGACAGCACGTACCCATGTGGCTAACCTACAACTGCTAGAAGAAACAAATCCCACCCATACCTAGGAGCGGTGCCACAGCCAGACCACAATTCCTATGAGGGATGAACTTAATTTGCTGAAAATGAAGGCCAGGCTCTGTTGCAGCTCATTAGCTGGTTACAGACACACTGCAAGAGAAGAAAGTGGAATTTAGTCGATGTTCCAACTTCTACATGTGCTGTGAATAAAACAGACTATTGTTTTTTTGATAAAGAAGTATTGTTTTGAATGTGCAGATTGGCTAAGTAAAGCCAGCAGAATTTTTTGGCCAAATATAGTCTCTTGCTCACTCCTAAAAATCCTAGCTTTCAAATTAGGAGCTGAAGTCATTGAAAAAAAAAAAAAAGTTTACATTCCTGCAGCCTGCTGCAGCAAAGCCAAACAAATGTTTGGCTTAAAGCTCACTTACATCTCTTTCATGAGCCTTTTTTTTAACATGGAAGTCTGAAAAATACCATTTCTTTTATCGAGTCATTTAATGCCAAGTGGGGAGTGTGTGTGTGTGTGTGTGTGTGTGTGTGTGTGTGTGTCTGTGTTTATGTGAGGACACGCACACTCAGCAACAGTACTATAGGGTCAGTGTAGTGGTTTTAAAGCATGTGGGTCATATTTGAATTTAAAGAAACCATGGTTTTACAGCTTCTGGCATAATTTAGGTCACAGTCACAAACTGTGATTTTTTTTAAGCATCATTAACCACTGAATGGACAAGGAATGTGTTATTTTCAAGGAGTTTCTTTGGTGCCAGTTCAGGCAATAAAAACTTAAGGACAGGGTCAAACTGGGAGGGTAACTTTGTATGTAGTTGCCCTCCTGATGCACTTTTTTACCATAAAAATTGGATGCTTTTTGGCCTTCAGTCTCTAAGCCCAAAGTGGATAACATGAAGTAACAGCAACAATTTGTTGGAGGCAGGCATGTTGATGGCCAATTTTTGTATAGTCAGTAGGACTAGTGATTTGGCACTCTGAAGAGTCCATTAAAGTGACAAAATTGCAGAACTGAATAAGCAGTGGTCTAGTATTTTTGGGTTCACAGATTCTCCTTCCAATATTCTTCATAGATCAGCCAAATTTTTGCTAGAATACAGTTGAGTTTTGTTATAATGATGACATTCATATTAAATAAATTCCCAGTCTGAGAGCAGAAAATGAAATGGTTTAAATCAAACCTCTTTCTGAGTCAGGGGCCACTGACTGACAGTGTGTGCCCAGACCTGGGGAAAGGGAAACAGAGGGAGCCATGTGAACACCACTCTCATCGCCCTCTCCCAGCTCGCTACCAGTTTTGCATGCTGATTGGGTTATTTTGTTGGCAGGAGTAATTTGCTAGTGAGGGTTGATTTCCCAAGTGCAAATGATTGGTGTGTTTGAGGCATGTCAAGAGGAGGAGAGCAGAGAGTAAGTCCTCCTGGCCATACTGTCACATGATGGGTGGCTGAGGGCCTCCTTAGGCCAATTCTAGTTCCCTTCTCAACCTTTAGACACTAAACAAACAAGTAAGTATTTTCATTACAGAAGACAGTTGTTATATGGAAGGAATAAAATGAAGCATTTACTATAAAATATTATTTACACACTAAATTATTTTTCCGTGTATTATTAAAAACATTTTTATCACATTCCTGGAATTCCCAAGCTCTTCAGATGCCACTTGGGGTTTGTTGTTGTTGTTGTTTTGTAGTGGGATTGGCTTTAGCAGAATTTTACCTGCATAGGTTTACATACATAGCTTACATCATCAGTATAATAGTGAACACATTACCATCAGAGGAAGACCAGAAGAGATGTCTTTATTGTACATTTTCCCAGATATTCCAGATATCAATGCTTACACTTTTGAAGATTGTTTTCATACAATACAATCTACCAAAGAATGTTTTTAATTTATGTCAAAACCTCTGAAAATTAAATGTGGTGAGGCTATAAGAAGAACAAAGAAGGTCACCTTTTGAGAGAATGGATGAGGACTGCCTTCAGTTCTAAACACAGGATCACCTCATTAACGAGATGTGCCCCCAGGCATGCACTTTCCAAATAAATATTTGTTGAGTACATAAACAAACACTTTAATTTTACCATTTTTATTAAATAGTTTCTAAAATGTTTTATAAATGCCCTTGCCTCCTTAAAAATTACTTTTAGAATGAAAATGTAATTGTTTTGTCTTGTGTCATCACTGTGAATACCCACTGCTGTGTTACATAACCATGTGTCTTGTCTGCCCTTTAAGTTGGTTGCTTTCTCTTTCAGTTCCAAGTTCTCAGTTAAGATGTTTCTACTGCTATGCTGTGCCTGTGTCTAATAACATTTCGCATTCTTCCAATCTGTTCTAAAATAGAAAAAGATCTTTGTTAACAATTTATGCTAAATAATCATCAATATGACTGTGGATGAAAGGATATATAATTACAATTAGATAGGAGAAATAAGTTCAAGAGATCTATTGTACAGCATGGTGACTATAGTTAATGACGATAGATTACATTATTTAAAAATGAGAAGATGGTGAATGTTAAGTGTTCTCAGTACAAAAATGATAACTATGTGAGGTAACACATTTGTTAATTAGCTAGACTTAACTATCCCACAGTGTATGTATACTTCAAAACATCATGTTGTGGGCTGGGCACGGTGGCTCATGCCTGTAATCCCAGCACTTTGGGAGGCTGAGGCGGGTGGATCACAAGGTAAAGAGTTCAAGACCAGCCTGGGCAAGATGGTGAAACTCCGTCTCTACTAAAAATACAAAAATTAGCCTGACGTGGTGGCAGGCACCTGTAATCCCAGCTACTCGGGAGGCTGAGGCAGAGAATTGCTTGAACCCAGGTGGTGGAGGTTGCAGTGAGCTGAGATGGCACCACTGCACTTCAGCCTGGGTGACAGAGCAAGACTCCGTCTCAAAACAAACAAACAAACAAACACACCCATCATGTTGTGCACAATAAATACATAATAAAAATTTTTAAAATAATAAATTTTCTAGAAGTTTTATAAGAGCACTTTCTGCCAAAGAGTTTAAATTGTCAGTATTCAGTATTCAGTACTACCAGATCAATATTCAAGTAAGTAAAGGACTATTGTAATCTACAAGTCCTGACCACCTCTAGGCTACTTCAAAAAGTCAAGGATTACATATTGCAACTAAAATTCTAGTTAATCACCAAATAAATTTTCCCTTGAAAAGCATTTAAGTTTTGAGACTAACTTATATCCTAAGCTTCTCAGATCTTACCTCATATTTGAACATAATTTGACAGTTTACAAATAATTTTCACATAATGTACCATTCCATTTTACCTGTATAACATGAGTATGTTTGACTTTTTCAGGTAACAAGGAATGGAAACATATTCTGGTTACTTTAAATTACTGCAAGGCCTTACAGGAAAGAGAGGAAAACAAGCATCTGTAACACAAGCCTAATGAACATTAGAGATCATTCAGGGATGCAAAGATTGTTCAGAGGGCTGAGTCCTCATAGCCTGCTTACCCTGTTGTCACTTTTGCAGAAAGGACATGTCTCTGCCTTTGCTATGGCTTCACCATCATTCTCACCCATTTTCTTATTTTAGTACATTATTAGTAATATTAAAAGCTATCGAATAAAATTTTAAAAATATTTTTAAACATTTTCTTTTTAAAACATATTTTTAAAAATGTAATTAAAATACTACATTAAATATTAAAGTATCTTTAAACTAGAAAACTGTTACGAATATTTTCAGTACTGTATGAAAGATTAAATGGTGTATCCTTTAAATAACCCAAAACAAAGATGTCACCTGATTATTCCTACCTCTCACATACACACACAAAATGATTCACAGGTGAAAGTATTGAGCCTTTGAGTGTGAAACACTTCTGGCAAACCAAAGATAACTTTACCTATTCTCCCTAATGTTCCATGTATGATTGGTGTCCGATTAAAGATACATACATGAGATGATAAGACTTTTATTTGGTCTAGAGAAAGAGGAGCTGTTTAGTCATGGAGCTCAACTCTCACAACAGAATGTCAGTGTCTAGTCACCTTGCAGTCTTGACTGCAAACTGAGCACTCTCTTATTATTAAGTACTTTCACTTAGAAGAAACCACCTTTCATAGAAGACAGACTCAAAAAATCTCAACCAAAAAACAAAAACAAAATGAAAGACAGGGACATAAAAGTCAGCAAGAAACACTGAATATTCTTCGGGGGATGAGGAAATGTATAGCCTTCGTTTTACGATTCCCAGACCAAGTCTACTTTTGTAAAGCAATAGTCTTGGGATCTTGAGAAAACGAGCAACTCAAAAGGAAGTGTGGTGGAAATTTCCAAAACACAGAGAGTCTGTCTGGATAAAAACAGTGAAGACAGGCTTCTATATTTAATGACAGGGCCTGGGTTGCCTGTCTTCTGTGATCACTGGCTCTGTGTGGTACACTTTGGTAAGTTTATGATGGTGTAATCCCCTGATGAATGAAGCACTCCCTTCCCTTCAGTGCTGTTTATTCTTAGCTTATGCACACAAAGAGCAAAAAAAGTTGTCAACAACGTATCCAGTTTATACACTGAACACACTACTAACAGCCAGCTGACTCAAGTGAACCAAGAAGTTCTTGTATCCTGAACGTCCTTCCTTCATTCATTCACACACACAAATATTTACTCTGCACCTACTATGTGCCAGGCACAACAACAGAAGAGGTTAGTTGGGGAAAAGTGTAGAACAGGAACATGACAGTGGTAGAGAGGGGAGGAAAGAGGAAAAAATAGTTTCTGTTTGTATTAATAAAGGGGGAAGTTGTTTTCCTGACATCCTGTAAAAATCTGTGACTCTCAGTCATATTTAAAAAGTGTTCGTTTCTGATTTGAACCATAATATGCAGGGAGATGTCCCTGTGTTGGTTTGCCCTTTATTACTGCTCCTGAAATTCTCATAGGAGGTGAAAAATACATCTATACTAGTTCTCTAAAACAATTCAAAACTTAAGAATATGCAACTCCATATATTTCAAAAGCAGAGAATGAAGACAATAAAAAGACTTATTGTTTAAAAATTAGCCATTTGATAATTATAAAAATCTCTTATGTGTCCATTTTACAATTGGAAAATAAACATATTAAAGTAAATATGATCATAGCACCTAAATTCTAATACCTCTGATGTAATAGCTTGGGAGAATAATTGGAGGAGAATGGAAGAAAAGAAATTTTAGCTGGAATTTAGAGTTGTGGATCATTCTATATCTTTAAAAATGAAGTTCTGCCCTTAGGGAAAAAAATTAGTGGTTCTGGCCTATAGCAGGCTGTTTCAATATCACTCTGTGCATTGGGACAACTGAAATAGCATTTGTTCAGAAATGTTTCAAGTCATGATTTCTAGAAGTCACCCCACTTATCATTATGTCAGAATATTTTTCTTCAGTCCATTAGAAGCAGGCTCTGCCTTTATGCTGCTTTCAAGGATTCCAAAAGTTCACTCACAATGCCAGACTACAATAAAATTCAGCGTAATGTGAACCACTCAATGATATTGCCTTTCCTTATTGCCTTTCAGTTACACCATTCTAAATGCAATAAAGAAAAAGTTGTTCTGTATGGAACAGATAGAGAAATGAGTATCATTCCCCGAGTTGAAAAGTCACAGGCTGTAATACACTAACAGCTTAAAGGAGAATTTCTCATATTGATGGTTGGTTACGTGTGTTTGAACATCCGAGTAACCTGAAAAGCATATAAGATTGCCGATTTCAAATCACGATGGTTTTTATTTGGCACGCATTCCACAATAGGCAATAAAGCAGTGCCCCCGCCAGCTGCAAATGTATCTACCTGTTCTTCTGGAGAGCAAACCCAAACAGCACTGGGGTCATAGGAAAAGAGAGCTAGTGGCCACTCACACTGCGGAGCAGCCCTGGGAAAGTGCAGCGATTCTTTCTACATCGTGGCTTGACTCTCAACAACAGGTTGGAGCTATTCAGGAGACCGTAAACCCAGCAATGCCTTTCAGTGATGCCAGTGGGGCCCCAAGTGATCTTGGGCAGTTTGCATAGAACCTTCACACAATCTGACCTGTCCCTCTGCATGCATTAGCCTGAGGTAAGTTTCTTGACAGGAAGGCAGGTGCACAGGATGCAGCCTAGTTTTCTGTGTCTTTTGTGGACTCTCAAGCAAAGCAGGAGCTTGAGGATAGCAGCGCTGATCTTTGTAGGTGATATTAGATGCATTTCAAACATAAAAGCCAGATTTAAAATACTCAGACTATATAATGGTTATTTTACATATGGTCATCTGTTTATTTGAAGATGAAGAGAGGCATTGTAGGACAACTCTTGGCGTATAAATACCAGTAACCCCAGTCATTATTTTAAGTGTTTCCTTTACCTTCAAAGAAAAAAAAAAAAGCTAAGCAAAAAATAAAAATAAAAAATAAAGCAACTCAAAGTGACATTTTAGGAGTAATTATACTCATATTTTGAAGTAACTTATCTTAAGATATGAATGATTCTTGTCCAGCTCACATCTTGTGTAGTTTTGTGTAGAATTCCCACTAACAATCCCTTTGCCCCCGTACTTAAAATAAACCCATCTATTCCTTCTCCCAGAAAGAAAATAACAAAATTCTCAATGGTTGCAGTGAAATTATCCCCTGTGACATGAGTGAGTCATCTCAGCCACTGCAGGCAAACTTGAAAACTTGTTCGTTGCTTTCTTTCTAGAGGACCTGCATTACTGCCATCAGACTGGAAAACATGCAGCTTTACTTCACTTTATGCACCAGACACTCTGAAGAAGTTTTCTTTAAAGTTAATGCTTGCACATAATTGACTTTCACCAAAGAGTTAAAGCTGCAGATGCACAGAAAGGAGTTTGTCTTAAAAACATTTTTAATTTCAGTTAAGAGTTTTAATATTTGCCTCAATGGGCATTTCTTGTGACTGTTTTTTCCTACAAAACTATTAACTCTGCAAAATAGCAAGCCTGATTCTGTGCACTTATTTAAAGCATACATATTATTAAAAAAAGCACCCACATTTTCTCATATCTTTGCCAGTTGATCTTTAATATTTAAGAAGTCATACTGGCTACCCCAATTTTACAGGTATTTAGTAAATGTTCATTTGTTGAAAAATCATTGTGAAGATTTTATTAATTAGAATTTACCAGTCTTACCAGTAATTTTACACAATATATTCATTTGTTAAGTTTCTTTTTCTTTTCCATTCTACTCTATTACATTTTTAAGAGATGCAAGTTCCATAATTTCTATGTATGAGGTACCTATTTGGTGGATTGATTCCTCAAACTATATCCTTTTTATTTAAATCAATAAAAAGATATAACAGAGTACCTATTATTTATGACACATTTTACTTCATGCCAGTGAAATGAATGATTTTTTATAAAGTTAATCCATTTTTGCTGAGTTATTTTCAAAAACTTTTTCCAAAAATACATCTTAAATACTGATTTTTCATTTTTCTGAATGTATATTAGATGTCACATGCATTAGAGAAATTTTGAGTTACTCTAACATGAAAAAAATACCTACCAATATTAATGGAGCTCTTTAAAATTAAGAATCTCACATCTTTCCAGTTCGAGACAGTATATTTTCTGACACAGGTTTTCAGAAACACAACAGGAAACATTAGCGAGTGTATTACACATCCCTCTTAAAGGTGTCAGTGCTTCCCATTGTCTGTAAAAAATCTAGAAATACAATAAAAAGAAAGCCAAGAAAATCTATGTACAATGCCATATGCTCAGCCAAAAATAATTAAATCTTAGACTCAGGCCAAAAAAAAAAAATTACCAAATGGTTATCTTGGTGGGATCAGCTCCCCCCATAAAGACTGCAACCAAACTGATGACCTCAGAGAGATAAGCTATCCCTTTGGCACCACTGCTCAAATGAGAAGCAGAACCAAACATCCTGAGACTTGTTTTAAACAAAAAACAATATAAAATAAAGAATCAGAGGAACTGAAAGAAACTTTAGAGCTCATTGGTGATAAAATCACCTATTTTCATGGAATAAAATAAGAGCTGGAGAAATCATAACATTTAGGTATTATTTAGATATTTTCATTGAAGACTACAAGCTCTGAAGACTCCAAAGAGCAAAAAGAATAATTTCAAACAGTTGACAAATAATGAAAATAATGTTTAATTCTCAAAGGGCTTTAAATTGGTCCTCAGTGATGGCCATATAGTCAGCATAGTTGCGATAGCCCTGGCAGTGGAAATTACTGGATCTTGGAGATGATGTTTGCCACCAAGATGAATGGCAGAGTTTTGTCAGTTACCCAATTCACTGAGATGGAGGAGAGAGATGGTGGGAAGCAGGCCTTCCCTCATGAACCTACACATCTTACTTATGAAGCCATGTGTTGTAATTTTATCTAAGCAAGAAGGAATGCACATAAAAGTGCCTGAATTGTACCATAAGAGCTTGATCTAAAACACAAGCATGGAATAGAGTAATAAATTATCACAAAGTGGAAAGCGGTAACACTAGTAGTTCAAAATTCATAGTCAGGAAAGCAATGCTATACACACTAAAGCCGCAGGAGCCCCAGACATACTCTTATCTTGGATAGCAGAGCAGTACAGAGACACACGCTCAACCCTGAAGAATTTTGTCTGTGGAAGGTAATGACAACCAGTGACAAAAGTAAAGAAAGTCACAATATGGCATTTTAGGGGAGAATCATTCATTGGGTAAGGGAAATTGTCTCCATTGCAGTTCATGGCCTAAAGGACAATGCTTCTATGAAAATTCTACAGCTTTTGCGGTAATCTTTCCTGTTCCTCGAGCTTCCAAAGCCATTGTCAGTCTGGGAATTTCTTTGAAGATTTCCAATAATCCAGCTACAAAATCCAGAGTTTCTAAAAGTTATTACCTCAAATTTCCATAGTCAGGTTGTCAGAATTTGTCAGCAGTGGAAGATGCCAGATAGGAATGACTATGCCCTGAGACCTGGCACACCCAGTGGCCTGGCAGGGCAAGTATTGGAGGTGCCTACATTGCAGGTGAAGACTGGGCTTGTCTGGGAGCTCCACGGTGAACTAGTGAGAGCTCCAGGGATTCAGAAGCAGGAGTTTTTATATATATGTATAATGTATGTGTGTGTATGTGTGCGGGGAGATATTAGCGATGTCCCCAAATGCTAAATTCATATTTTTACCCTGTGTTTGGATCTTCATGTATACTCACCTCTAAAGGTCACACTAAGAGTTTGAGAAATAGGATGGTATGTATTTAACAGAACAGATTCCAGGAAAAGAATCTTGAGAGAAGAGAGACAAAAGGGTTTCTCTTCAGACAAATGGTCTGATGGGGTACAGAAAGAGGCAAGAAATGTCTGAAAGAATTTGGAGGTAAGGCCAGACTAGGTAGAACTATACTGAAATAATCCCACAGTCTAAGCCTTTTGATCTATTTTTAATAGTATTTTCTTGGACTTTCCAAAGTTATATTATCAGCTATCATGTCTTGTTTCTTTCATTTGCCTGAATCTGTAATCTGTGATTGCAAATTTGAGTAATTTGCCCCTTTAATCTTCTAAAAACATAGAAACAAACAAAAAAAAGCCTGTTAGAACTACAGGTAGGATAAGAATAGGCTCTGTCCAGGTAGAAGAATAAAGGGCTCTTTTACCATTATTGATATTGTGAACTATTTTTCCTTTGCATTTTTAGGCTATTCTCATTATTTCTTGATTCCTAGCTATAGTGTCATGTTTGAAATTGACCACTTCTTATATGAGGTATTAGTATTTTAGGCTTTGTTGATAATTTTTTTCTCTACAAACTTTAGTTCTGAATTGCATGGAATACTTTTAAATAAAAATGGTGGGCATATGGTTCTGCTACTTCTTTATAAATTGCAATGTACCCAAATTAGCTTTTCTATATGAAGTGTGATGCTAAAAGCAATGATTCTAGCCCCACAAACTAAACTGCACAAGAAGATAAATGCATCATTTAAGGTAAATGAACCTTGTAAGGGCTATTGAATGTCAATGATATGCATGAAGAGCATTTCATTTGTAAATAGATTTCTCAACATGCCTGATACGAGAGATTCTGATGACAGGTGGACTCTCCATAATGATTGAAGCTGGAGCACAGATATTCTACAAAGTTACATCTCCTTTAACAAACATTTACATAGCACCCTATCATAAACCAGGCACTATGCAAGGTCCAAGGAATACACAAATGGATTCGATATAATCCCTATACTCAAAAGGCTCACAGTCTAGCTTGGAAGATAAGCATATCTTTAAATACTACACAGTATAACACAGTATGCATAAATGCCAAAAACAGGGATAAAGTGAAAGATCTACTAATGTCCTTGGATGTTCAGGGAGTATTTCATCAAAGATATGTCATTTGAACCCTATCTTGAAAGATTTAGTACATGTTTCTAAGGCAGATAAAACTGAGATGATTTTCTGACGGAGGACATTCCAGCTATGGTCATAACATGATTAGTAGGTGGTAATTCATAACTTGGTACAGCTATGAAGAAATAGTATGGAAGAGTCTGAAAAGTAGGCAGTGCAAGAAGTCTTTATGCTCCACATTGAGAAATCTAGACTTTATCCTGTAGGTGACATCAGGCCCTTGTAGCTTCTTAATCATAACTGATAACCTTTCAAGAGAATAAAATATTCAATTTTTCAATCTTCTGTTGTACTTACTTTCTACCTGCACTTCTTGTACAAGTCCTTACACATTACCATTTCCCAAAAATGCAGTCAGAGCAGAATGGCCCTGAACTTATTCTAGGAGATTCGGTCACTGGAGAGAAAGACTCTCCTGTCCACAGATTATTTATTTTAAACCTGATTTCATTGCCATAACCCGACTAGTACTTTGCAGCATAGCCAATTGATATAGAAACCAACCAACCAGTAAAATATTTCCCAACTCTAGAAATATTCAGTAAAAGAGATTTCATCTTGCACATCCCAGGAATATACAATAAAACTTTCATATAAGTATTTTTTGTATGATTGATAACATCACTTTTGTCTCAGGAAATTCTCAGTATCATGAGAAAGTTCAAAAGCAAATGAGAAGCCTTCACACTCTCCAGTAAATCCAGTCACCTTGCAAATTGGAGTTTTACCATTTTGCAGAATAATAGGATAAAGAGAAGTACATTTATTTGAGCTATTAGGTTGGTGCAAACGTAATTGCAGTTTTTACCATGGAAAGTAATGGCAAAAATAGCAATTATGTTTGTACCAAACTAATAGTTACATAATATATTTCTGATATTTCCTGGGAGTCCACGAAGAACAACTTATCCTCACTTCTTGAAAACTATTGTGTCAGGAGGTAAACTCAAAATGTTTATTAGAAAACATGATTATTAGGTATACTCAAGAAAAGAAATTTCTTTTTAAACTGTATAACCAAATAGTGGTTTTATTTTCCCCACACTCTTTGCCTTTGTCTATCAACTGATTAAACCAAAACCTTGGGAAGATATTGGTAGTGAGAAGATCTGAGCTCTAGACAGATTACAAACTTTTGGAATTAAAAACAAAATTAAAATTAAAAATAGGGCTAAGACCAGAACTTCACAAATGTCCTAAGTGGTACATTATTATCTTATTTCCAGTCTATAAGCTGTTATCAAGAGCAAAATGTCATTATCAATATAACCCTAAGGAAAGTTTACAAAATAAAAATTTGTGAAAATGAAAACTGGCAGCTAAAAATCAAAGCATATCCATGTTTCTCCTGTCTGCATGCTCTTATCCATTGATATACATTTTGATTTTCTGTATTTACTCTGACTCTTTTTTTATAAACCACTTATTTTTTTTAATCAGTTGCTTAATAAGAGGGTCTAAACACTCTATGGGAAATTTCTCCTTTTTTCTCCCTTGGCTATGTAAAAATAAAGAAGCTAGCTGTGGCAAATGTTTCACAAGAATTTTTGTTTCCCAAAATGTTAAATGGAACGATGTTAATAAGACAGGAGTTAAAGGTTATCACAATTATATAGATTTTCATTTTTTATACTAGCAACTTTTTGCTAACTTTTCAAATTATGCGTTGTTACCTTGACCCATTTTTTAGATGCCTCAATGGATCTGAAAGGCAGTAATTTGAGACTTAAAATTTGAACATTCAATTGCAGTATTTTTAGTACAACATAAAGGTGTTCACAGGAAAATGTGAATCTAGATTAGACAATAAAGAGTTGTTTTATAAAAGCAACCACCTTTTCTAGTTCAACTCTCTTTTCATTCTGAACTTTTCCTAAAAGAATTTTTTATCTAATATTTTAAGATAATTACATGCTCATGGACATTGGATTAATTTTTTTATTAGTAGGTTTTCAAATTGTGTTCTTCTGCTAGTTACAAAAATGAAAATATTTTGAAATTACATAAGCCAAATTAACTTTACAGTATAAATGTATACTTTTAAAATTATAATTTAAAGCACAAAGGCTTCTGACACCTTACATGGCATTCCAATTCCTACAAGAAATTGTTGAGATTCAGGAATCATGAACCATGCCTAAGTTCTTGGAAACTATGTGTCTGCTATGGTGGCTGTTGGCTCCTGTGAATGGAAAAAAGTGCCACAGAGAATTTCAACCAACTTGAAGCAACTGTTCCAAAGAATGTGGCTTAAGATTTTCAAAGACAAGTCAGACACTTAATGCATGCAGCTGTACTAGAAGGTGACCAAGAATAA
This sequence comes from Homo sapiens, assembly GCF_000001405.40. NCBI lineage: Eukaryota > Metazoa > Chordata > Mammalia > Primates > Hominidae > Homo > Homo sapiens. The sequence goes on along the minus strand of NC_000005.10, from coordinate 88,930,422 downwards.
GAATAGATGAATCAAATAACAAATGCATTACCACGAGGCTGGTTTGAATTGCCAGAACTAGCTTAAGTTTTGTATTTTTACCTGAAGAGCATCATATTTCAAAAGAAACAATTAAAAACTGATATAGACAGAGGACAAATTTCTAAAATGAAAAATGGTCATTAAGATGGTAAATAAACAGATGTCCAAAAAAAAAAAAGGAATCCGAGGTTACCAAAAGTTACCTTGACTATAGGAAATACCTAAATCTTGTATGTTCTTTTGAGAATAGCACATATGACAATTTTAAATCACACTGAAATTTAACTACAAAATTCTTCCAGAATAAATTAGCTTCCAAAAATCAAACATTTTTCAAAGAGCCTATAAAAAAAAAGATAAGTGTGAAGTGTAGGCCTTCTGTGGAATCATCAAAATCTCTTAGCTCTTTATTCTTTTTTCTAAAAAGTTTCTCTGCTGAAATATAATTTAGAGAACATGCAGAAAATAAATTTAGGATAGTCCAAACAAGTATGATGCCTGAAGCTCCAATAACAATTTAGAGACTATAAATGTTATTAAATTTCAACCCATCTTTTCCTGGTGAATGCAATTCATTATTTCCTAAGGAAATCAGTCTTGACCAATACCATTGTGAATTACTTCTATAAATTAAATACGCCACTTCTATAGAAAACTTTAGGTCAGCAGCAGATGTTGGTAAATTCCTACAGAAATGCATGCCCAGAGAATGTTTTTTTTTTTTAAATGGCAGAAATCTGCTAGCTATTCCTGCCTTATCTGCAACAGCTGAGCAATCTTTCAGTGCCACGCGGAGACGGAAAACTTGGCTCAGATATAGCGTGGACAAGCTTGCCTTAATCACATTGCTCTTTTACATGTGCACAAGGACATCAACATTGACAGTACAGAGTAAAGCAGCCATTTGCTGAAAACAACTGTCAACGTTGTCAAGTTTTTGGAACCTCTTATAATGTGATTTGTATGACAAATCTTGTGGCATTTTGTTTGTCAGCAACAGTAGTGAATTTCCATGTATCTGGGAAGGCAGGAGAACAGTTCAGAAGTGAATTGGGATTCTTTACACAGACTGTATTAAAGGAAAACAGTGATTAATTTTAAAATGACAGATTTCAAATAGATCTAGAATTTTCAAAGTGGAATTTCATTTCAGATATCGCATAAATGTGTTTTACTCCTTGGGCTCAAACCTTGAAGAGTTGCTAGAGTCGTTCAATTTTCCTTTGTTGATCTCTAAGTTTAGAAAACTGTTGTAAAAATATTAATATTTTCAAGACTCGAATCTGTAGCAGTAATTAGCAGAGGGTGTTCTAAGTGACAACAGTAGGTTCATTCCTTTCTTTAAGAACTAGATGCTCATTGGCCATAAAGCTCATGAAATCAGTTGTAGTCAGTTAAAACTAACCTAGTGCACAGCAGTGTTATTGAACAATACATCTATTAAAAGACCATTATAGAGATCTCATGGTTCATTACTTTTTCAACATCATTCCTACTTATCCTTACTTTGCGCTGTGTTTTTCATATAGCTACTCCTTAATGTGTTTCATTCATCTGTCCTCAGCCAAGGTCCTCCTTCATGTGGGTGGGATTAGCTTGGACATGCTTATATAATGGACCATGAATGACCCCTCCTTGCACATGCCAAATTACCCTTGGATGCCTGACACCAGTATCCTAGCCCAGCCAAGAAAGTCTCAGGTTCTTCACATCTACACTAATTATTGTTCCTTTAAAAGAGATCCTTCAAAGTCTAATGAGAGAATCTTTCTTTTTTATGCTTCCTTCCAAGTAAATATCTGTCAAGAACCCCAGAAAAGATATTCTCTCCTTCTGTTAGGATCCTTTTCCCCTCTGATCAAAGCTATGCTCAACATAATGTTTAGGACCACCCTTATAAATATTAGGTACTAAAAGATTTTTTTATGGAATGGAATTTTTAAAATGATAGATAAAACTGAGACACACTCTAATTGAAGGATTAATATTTTGTTTCAAACTCCATAATAACCAGTTCTCCCTCCTTTTTTTCTTCATTTTTCTGGAAAAATACTGAATGAGGTGCCTATAGTAGCAATAGAAGTATGATGCAAGCTACATAAGTAATTTCAACTTTTCTAGTAGCCATATTAAAAAGTAAATAGAGGCCGGGCACGGTGGCTCACGCCTGTAATCCCCACACTTGGGGAGGCCAAGGTGGGCAGATCTGCTGAGGCCAGGAGTTTGAGACCAGCCTGGTTAACATGATGAAACCCCATTTCTACTAAAAATACAAAAAATTAGCTGGGAATGGTGGCCCGTGCCTGTAATCCTGGCTACTCGGGAGGCTGAGGCAGGAGAATCGCTTGAACCCGGGAGGCAGAGGTTGCAGTGAGCTGAGAGCACGCCATTGCACTCCAGCTTGAGTAACAAGAGTGAAACTCCATCTCAAAAAAAAAAAAAATTAAATATAAAAAGAAGAAACTAATTTCAGTAATACTTAACCCAATATATCCATAATATAATGTAATCAATATAAAAACTATTTATTAGATATTTTACATTCCTTTTTCTTTGTACTAAATATTTGAAATCTAGTGCATATATTACACTTACAACACATCTCAGAACTAGGCACATTTCAAGTGCTCAATAGCACCATGGGGCTAGTGACTGCCATATTGGACAGCAGAGTTCTAGAGACCTCAGTTCTAATACTACTTGGTCCACTAGGTTATGTGACTTTAGCTAAGTCTCTTTTTTACTGAGTCTTATTTTCCCCATCTATTAAAAAGACTTTAATAATTCCTGTCCTGGTTCATCTTTGAGTAATTTGTGAAGAGCACATAGAAAACTACACTTAAAAGTAGTTTAAAAATTAGTAAGTTTTCTGCAGTTTTTAATTTTTGTTGCTATTTCCTCTTTCCCAGAATTTCCTCACTTTCCTTAAAAAAAAACCTCTGACTGCTATTTAAAATCATACATGGTAAGGTGTGCTGTGTTTTATGGTTTAAAAATCTACTGTCAAATGCTTCCAGTGCCAAATTTTTGCTCCTCTCAATAGCAACTTGCCTTCATAAAATCCTAAGCTTAGGATAATATCAATAGCCTGCCTTTTCTGTGATGGTCACTGTTTCTAAAAGACACTCACATTCTATAGTTTTGTTCTTTTCTCATCTTCCAGTTGTGTTTTGATAATTCTAGACTAGAGCTTAGCTGTGTGTCAAAGACATGTAGACCTCTCTGTACCTAAATTTATTTTAAACATCCAGTGTATTTCCTACTTATAAAAATACTAAGAATGGAAAACTATGTACAGTCACGAGCCACATAATAACGGTGGCCTCGTAAGATTATAATGGAGCTGAAAATTCTTATCACCTAGTGATATCGTAGCTATCGTAATGTTAGCACAACACATCACTCACGTGTTTGTGGTGATGCTGGTGTAAACACACCTACTGCACTGCCAGTCATATAAAAGTCTAGCACATGCAGTTATGTACAGTACATAATACTTGATAACGATAATGAATATGTTACTGGTTTATATATTTACTATACTATATTTTTATTGCTATTTTAGAGTGTACCCTTTCTATTTATATATAAAAAAGAAGTTAACTATAAAGCAGCCTCTGACAGGTTCATCAGGAGGTATTCCAAAAGAAGGCACTGTTATCGTAGGAGATGACAGCTCTGTACGTGTTACTGCCCCTGAAGACCTTCCAGTGGGACAGATGTGGAGATGAAAGACAGTGATATTGATGATCCTGACCCTGTGTAAGCCTAGGCTAATGTGAGTGTTTGTGTCTTAGTTTTTAACACAAGAATTTTAAAAGTAAAAATACAAATTTTAATAGGCAAAAAGTAGAGAATAAGGATATAAAGAAAAATATTTTTGCACAGCTGTACAATGTGCTTGTTTTAAGCTAAGTCTATCACAAGAGTCAAAAATTAAAAAATAAAAAGTTTATAAAGCAAAAAAATTACTGTTAAGCTAAAGTTAATTTATTATTAAGAAAAATATTTTTTATAAATGTAGAGTAGCTTAAGTTTACAGTGTTTCTAAAGTCTACAGTAGTGTACAGTAATGACCTAGATCTTCACATTCACTCACCACTCACTCACTGACTCACCCAGAGCAACTTCCAGTCCTGCAAGCTCTGTTTATGGTTAAGTGCCCTGCACATTATAGTGGAAGCACAGCTTCTACTATAATTAAATTCTAATTGTTTCTAAAGTTTAGGAAGGATAAAATGGTTAATCTCCGTGGTGACAAAAGGAAGCCAGGAAAATAAAGTGCACACTTGTATGAACTGTAAGGAAATAAAGTACCTTTTTTAAATCTTTTATACTGTATTTTTACTGTGTCTTTTCTATGTTTAGATATGTTTAGATACACAAATATTTACCATTATGTTACAATTACCTACAGTACTCAGTACAGTCACTTGCTGTACAGGCTTATAGCCTAGGAGCAACAGGCTGTACCACACAGCCTGGGTGTGTAGTAGGCTGTACCATCAAGGTGTGTGTAAGTCCACTTTATGATGTTTGCACAGCATCAAAATACCTAATACTGCATTTCTCAGAATGTAACCCTGTTGTTAAGTGACAAATGACTATATAATTGTTGAACTTTCAATCGATGTATTTTCAGTACAACTTAAAGGTATTGACAGGAAAATGGATCTAGATTAGAAAATAGTTTTATGAATGCAACCACCTTTTCTTGTTCAAGCCTCTTTTCATTATTAGTTTTTTCTGAAAGAACTTTTTAGCTAGTATTTTTAGTTAATGACTTGCTCATGAGTAGGGAACCCTGCCTTATACACTCACTGTCCTATTTCTTTAAATTCTGAAAACATCCTTGACATACAATAATTCTTACTGGCTTTTCTCCTCCTGATCATTTTAAACTCATTACCATTCCTTTCCTCCTTTTCTCTTCCCCCCTCCGACAGTCTCTCTGTCACTCTCTCTCTCTTCTCTCTGCCTTCTCAATCTCTTCACCATGTTCTCAACAGTCACCACACTGTTTTTCTTTTTTGACCTTTTCTTGTGTATTCGCTTATATTCAGTATCTGGCACGCTGGTAAGTTGGCTGCATCAAAGGAGCTTTGAACTTTTTGCTTGTTTGTTTACCAACAATAACTGTCCTATAAACTATAAGTATATAATTAAAATATATTATAAATTCAACACATAAAATAGATTGTTATTTAAAAATCTTATAAATTAATCTAGCAGCATCTAGTAGTATCACTGGCTTCCCAAATCATCTACTATCCCAGCAAAACAGCAATCTATCTGAACAGTGATCTAAACGTTTTGAAGTTTTTTTTTAATGCTTTTGAATATGATCTTAATCACCATTTCCAGTGGTGTGTCTACATACCAGCTGCAGCCCTGCTGATTAGAGCATCAATACCAATTGATTTTCTAGCACATACTTGCAATATCTATTGTATCTCATTGAATACTATTGGTATTTAGCTGAAGCTAAGAGGGAAGAAAAAGATTTTGTGTACAGAACACATGGGTCCCAGAGAGTTTCATAATTCCCAGGAGAATATAAGAATCAGGTACTCGATGTCAGACTAAATGGTTTCTTATGGTTAATGTGTTTGGTGACCACAACCTCAAATAATTCTCTTGCCCAGAGCCAGGGTTACTCAGCTGTATAATAACCTCTAAAGTCTCTCCTTTGAAAAAGACTCAGGATTCATGACTTTAATTTTGCCACTGATAATATGAAAAGTATACTCTATATAGTACTGAGCAAGCATTCACTCTCAGCTTCCACTGTAATGAAATTCTAATTGTTTCTAAAGTTTAGGAAGGATAAAATGGTTAATCTCCATGATGACAAAAGGAAGCCAGGAAAATAAAGTGACACACTTGAATGAACTGTGAGGAAATAAAGTGCACAACATGCGATAATGCCATGACTCCGTGTTATTGCGCATTTCTGGGCTGAAAAGATATGGCTTGATGGGTAATTTGTCATGCTGTGCAATAGAGAACAACAGTAAAGAGACTTCAGACAGAAGAAAATTACACAAATAGTAGGGTGGAAAGGTATAATTGAAGATGGCAAAAGATTGAAAGAAAGACATTTAAAATTACTGTACTGACCTACTAAATGCACTTGGGCGTGGAATCCTGGCCTCACAAGAAGAGGCATTAAATGACTGCGGGCTGTGACACTACTGCAGAGTAATGCCAATCTCCCGAGCGCTCGGAGAAGAAAAACACAATGCACAGCCTGATGGAACAGTCTCAACCTGCTTTCTTAATGAGAGGAGCATGGGTTTCTGATGAACTTAGATATATAAGTTTCCTAAACTAATTCGTTTGCTTAAATTATGAACACATTTAATTTATTAAAAATATTTTGGGAGCTTAACTAATTCCTTAATTTTCTGAAGTCAATAAATCTGCACGTTATAAAACTGCAAAACAAATGGAATATCTTTTTAAACGGATTCACACAAAAGGAATGTGCTTTTCACATCCGGTTAAGTTTCTTCAGGATTGAAGAGTCCGAGAGATCAGTATGACATTGTGCAAAGCACGTTCATAACTCTGAGAAGCAGAAGACACAATCGGTATCCCCACCTCTTCTGCAGGCTCATTAATCATGTACAGCTCTGGGCAAGTCCCTAAACCTCATGAAGCTCAAGTCCCCTTCTCTGCATAAGGAGAAACATGGACCAGATATTTTCTAACGATCTTTTCCAGTCCGTAATTCTATTTCAAACAGCAGACGCTCAAAAAAACCTTCTCCATAAATATTATTGCCATTTCCTTCCCAGGGATGTCCCAACCACGCATACTTTGTAATGGCTGAGGTCAATCATCTACTTTGTTCCCTTAAATTAAAGAAATGTGCCTCCTACCTATCATGTAAGATGATTGCATGGAAAACATAAAATTCTTTGAGATGCCAGTTAATTATAAAGTTCTTCCCATTTCTAACATATAATGAATAATCACAACTTATCTTTAAACATTTAATTCTTAATGACAATAAAGAACTTAGTATAGGAATATGACATTTCTTTATATAAAGGAAAATGCTATCCCTGATGATTATACTACATTAAAAAATGAAGTGGGAGTATTTTTGCAATTCTTATTACAGCTCTCAAGACTCTATTGCCCCATAATTTCTTCCACAAAGCAGAAATCTTAGGTTATAATCTGTGTAATCCTCCATGAATTGCTCAAAAAATGTTTTCCAATGGGAAATATCTTGTGCATATTACTGGTAAGGTACAAAATGGAAAATAATATATTTATAATAAATGAAAGAGTGATTTACATTTTTAAAAATAATCTTTAACTTGAGGAAAGTTAAGTGAGCTAAAAATAAAGTATTGATCAATATAACTCTTCTGTCTAGATGACATTGTAAGAAATACATTCAATTAAGAAGCTTCAAACTTGTAAGGGTAAAGCAATTTTAAAAGATTAGAAAGACTGCTTAACATGGGCTTGTGATATACTATGGGGAAATATTTAGATATGCCTTAGAGATTTTTAAAGGCCCAATAGGCAAACATGCTGTACTTAAACAAAAATCGGTACTTAAAATCAAAAAAGGTACTTAAAATCACAAAACTTACTTAAAATCACAAAAGGTACTTAAAATCACAAAAGATACAAAGGGTACTTAAAATCACAAATAGAATTCTGTACTTAAAATCACAAATAGAATTCTGACTGAATTTCATCATGTGACATCATTATACTTTCTTTCACTATTATATTTTTTCTTCAAGTTAAACATTTTAGACTTTCAATATTTGTTATGTTTTATATTTGCAAATTATAATACTGATGATAACGAGCAGCAGGTACTATTATACAACTCTCTCCAAAAATATCTTTTCATTAATTCATTTCAATATATGATGCTTAATTTAAAATTTCAAGTGGAAAATGCATGGTAGTGGAACCTAGCAAAATCTTGTCCCAACTCCCAGGGTCTGGTTATATTGGTACATCACATATAACAGGATAGACATAAAGTTAATTTCTGACTAATGTCGATAAAATAATCTATTAATTATTTAATTTAAATTTACAAAAATCATAAAACTAGAAGAAATACCAGAAAGTCACCTAACCTGGGGCTTTATGCATATGAGATTAATCTTTCAAAGGATGTGGTGAGCAAACACTCAGTCCTTTAAGACACAAAGATTCATCCAACAAATAAGAGTTTTGATGACTGTTATGGTCTCTTCCAGCTCTGGGATTGCAGACTGCATGAAAACACATAATTACGTTAAAGAAAATTCTATTCAAAACATTTGGTCATATCAGAGTCAAAAACTTCTCAGAATCCAGAATCCACAAGACTCAGTTTTAATGCCCACACTTTATGACTATTTTATGAGACATCTAATCAGGGCCATGAAAGCTATCATTCTTACCAGTGTAGGAATGAACAGATCCAAATGCCGTCAACTATTAAAATAATAATAAACCACTCACTCACTTACACATTTCATGAACACTTACTATCATCTACTATGTTCCAGGCACCGGGCCAGGCACCAGGTATAGAGGACAATTACACAGACATGACCCCTTTCAGGGTCTAGTAGAGAACAGAGAGTTGAATGAGTAACAATGGAGTGTGGTGAGATGGGATAAGTCACATGAGCCCAGGAGTTCAAGTCTGCAGTGTGCTATGATCACATCACTGTGCTCTCATCTCTTAAAAAAAAACTGGGATAAGTACAGGGAACTGTGAGACCATATAAAGGCTCTGTTAAACCTAAGGCAGATAAGGTGTAGCTGAGACCTAAAGAATGTGAGCAAGGGTAGCTGCTTTTACGCACCGTTGCCCTCTCATTTCTGCATCTTTGCATATAATGCCCTCTCTCCCTACAATGCCCTTCCAACCTCTGTCTTGATCATCCTCTTGGATTCAGTGTGGACAGAACCTCTTCAAGGAATTCTTCCCTTAATCTCCCAAATGCACTAACTAGTCTGCAGTGAATGTCCTTCCCTCTTCAATGCTCACTGAACCAATACATAACTGCATCCACCATTTCTGTAATTGCCTGTATAATCCTGATCTCTTGGGCTAATAAAATCCAAGAAGAGGTTTCTTTGAAGCTTCTGGGGAAGCTTTTGTAGCTCTTCTATAAAAGTCCCTTTCACTTGATAACTTTCTTGCTATTAGCCACTGATGAAGCTGGTCCACAGAGAGGGCAAACAATGGAAGGAAAATGAAGCCCAAACTACTGGATTCAAATGACCCTGGATTCCACCACATCTCTGAACTTTCAGTGAAGTGAGCCAACATATATCTTTATTATTGAGGCCATTTGGATTTGTGTTTTCTGTTACCTGCAGGCAATGGCATAGTGACTGATAAAACAGTATGGATGGGAAGCACGCCTTTTTCCTCAGCATCTAACACACTATTTAACACATATAATGATTCAATAAATGTTTCACGAATAAATGAACTAGGGAATTTAATTAAAATATCAGATAACAATGAAACTATCAACTTTATTTCCAAATATAACTGAAACCAAATTGTTTTCAACCACAATTTTTAAAGGTGGATTAAAACTCTATTCAGAAAGCCTGACATTTTTAGAGGGTTTTGCATGTTGTAAAGAAAATAAAGCTTGACTATTTACAATAGCAAAGACTTGAAACTAACCCAAATGCCCATTAATGATAGACTGGATAAAGAAAATGTGGCACATATACACCATGGAATACTATGCAGTCATAAAAAAGAACGAGTTCATGTCCTTTGCAGGGACATGGATGAACCTGGAAGCCATCATTCTCAGCAAACTAAACCAGGAACAGAAAATCAAACACTGCATGTTCTCACTCATAAGTGGGAATTGAACAATGAGAACACATGGACACAGGGTGGGAAACATCACACACCAAGGCTTGTCAAGGGGTGAGGGGCAAGGGAAGGGAGAGCATTAGGACAAATACCTAATGCATGCGGGGCTTAAAACCTAGATGATGGGTTGATGGGTGAAGCAAACCACCATGGCATATATATACCTATGTAACAAACCTGCACGCTCTGCACATGTATCCCAGAACTTAAAGTAAATTAAAAAGAAAACTAAAAAAAGAAGTAAAACTTGTCCTGTGCTGTTCTAAACCTCCTCATTCACTGTCTTTCATCATGTCCCCACTACCTCCCTCATGCCAACAAGGAAGTCCCTCTCACTCTCTAGTGACTCGGTGTCTTCACATTTCTCTGCCCCTTCACTCTCAAAATCTGTTCTCCAGAAAGAGCTAGTCCGCCTATTCACACTGAGTTCTAATGACCTGACTTAATCAAAGTATTGTCATTTCTAGGGATGTTTGAAAAATCCAAGCATTGTAATCTCTAATTATGCAACTATAGGTATCGGTAAGCGGTAACAAGGACACTTGTGGAGCTGATAGCCAACTGTGACCATGAAACAGCAGAAAGAGATGGCTGGTTTCCCTGTACACAAGGGCAAATACAGATAGTCTCATTAATGGTCAGACCAAGAATTTGACAAAGATTCATTCTTGTTGCATTCTATTAAGAGTAAATATTATACATCCAGTAATCAGTGAACCATGTCCACCAAGTGATAAGAAGTTCTGGTTGTAGACTTTAACCCTAGGATAGGATTTAACACCATCTGTTCTGTATAACATTTGGAACTAACTTCATAATTATAATAAACATCTACATTAGAAATTCCTCTACCACCAAGCGCTATGAGCGAATTATAAATAAGATTTTATTTGCTCCAAAGATGAGCAACTCAGGATTCTTTGTTATAGACCCTAAACCCAGATAAAAATTAAAATCTCAAAAAAAAAGAAAAAAAAACAGATGTCCCTAGATAAATGTTCCAGTATACAACCAGTACAAACTGTCTGGCTAACTTTTTTTTTTTTTATGAAATCAGATATTCCAGAGCCACCTTTATCACCAAACATAAAAGCATCCCACTGCATACCTCAACAGAATTGCCTGCATATCCTTAATGTCTTTCCAAGCAATTTTATGCAGTCAGCACCCTATACATTAGGGAAGGAATGGATGTGTGCTCTATGGGTTCTTATAATAGCAATGAACCTTCATAATCAGACTCATTCCTTAATTTTGCTTACTTTTTCATGCAGCTGCATTAATACTACATTGTCAAAGACAAAGACGAACATGAGACATGAGATATGAGTTTTAAAAAAAAGAGAGAAGAGCAAAAAAACAATACAGCTATCCAAGGAGCAAGTGCTGAGCTTGTGTAAAAACAGCTCCTATTTTATTAAATAATAGTGTTCCTGCAGGGATGTCTGAAGTACTCTGCAAGGCTAATTAGGACAGATCAATGTACACTTACCTCTCCAGAAGGCTGAAAGGTGTGTAGTGACTATGTGTCATTAAAAATTTACTTGACCATGGGCATCAGATGTCCATGAAAGAATGACCCTGGTGAGTGCTCTAAGTTTTCATTTTACTCATGTCATCCTCAATGCATCATAAATGCCATAGACACCATTACTATCACCCAGGCTCATAGCAGCTGATGTGCTGTATATGCTTGAGAGGGTGGTATCAATTAACTATATTATCTATAAAGCCATACTTGCAATTACTACCACTTCACAATTTATCATTAATGCATTTGGCAGATTTTTTTTCTCCAAAGTAACATTTATTTAAAGGTTAATCAAAATTCTTAGAACAGCATTTATTATAATGTGATTTTTGATAATTGACTAAATCAGTGGCTCTTAAGAACACCCTTGTCTCAGTCCCACTCAGTATACACCACAGTGCCATTTGGGGAAAAGAAATACATATTAGAAATGTTCATTTCAGACCTCGTCATGGAAGATCATATATTAATGTAATCAGGTGGTACATTTACATGCTCATTAGTAATCCATCATTAGTCCAAATGCTCACTATTAGGAATAAATGTACAACGAGTTATTCAGAATACCCAGAAATAGTATTTCTTATTTAAACATTCAGGACAAGCTGACTGAAATAAGTGCACACCTTGAATTTGAACTTTCAAGGCACATCACTAAAGTCAATCAGTTATGTCAGGACACTCTTCTGTAATAATCTCAATTATAAAATTCCTGCCTCTCCCTAACACAGGAGTTGGAGGGAGTTCCAAGATCGGAATCTTTCTAATTCACTGTAACTGCAAAAAAATCTTGATGAAGTGTGTATTTAAATTTCATGCCTTAATACATAGCATGCCACTAAAACCACATTAGTTATGCTTTATGCTGCTTAATCATACGTCAAAATCTGTAAAATCTGTTCTTGCATGCTAAGGTAATTTAACTGCAATTAATCAATTAAGAAAATAAATAAAATGTAATAAATGCCAAATAATGTAACTTCTTTTAAACAGACCACTATCTACACATTTATTCCCCAAATACTTATTAGCCAACACCATATAAGGAAAACATAATAAAAAGTAGACTTCACTGAGCCTTTCTCCCATTAGTAGCTTGCTCTAAACTTACAAATGTTTTAGAGAATTCTTTGGCATGATCTGACTTTCCAACTAAAATGTGAGCAACTTGAGGGTCAAACTTATCTTTTTTTGTCCCCTGTGCCCAACACAATGCGTTAATCATAATAGGTGTTCAGTTTGTTGAATGAAAGAATTGAATGATTCAAATATCATGAACTAAATTATTTTATCATAATGTTTATGAACTATAACAATACTTATATTTTTTCTTCTGACAACTACATATTATACCTCATTGGCATTTAACTAAAAGTAGTAGTACACTCTTAGTTAACTTTTTCATTTTTTTCATAGAGTCAGTTAGGTTTCATAGAACCAGCAAGGTAGGTTGGTAGATATATTTGTTTGTATTTGTTCCTCTAAATGAAAATGGTGATTTTTTTTCAAATATGTAATTTAACAACTTGATGAACATAGTTGCGGACTAAGACTTGGGAGGCTAATTATAAGTTATGAGTCCAGCTGGCAAGAATTTATTAAGCACCAACTGAATAAACCAAACTATGCTAGCAGCTAAAAATATATGAAAGGATATATTAAAAAAGAAAACCACGTCCTGCCTTCCAGACCTTAAATCAGAGAAGGTACATACATGTGCATTCAACAAACGTTACTGACTACACTTTACACCATGCAAGGCACTAAAAGGGAGGAGGACAGCCAACAAGTCTCAGTTCTCAACAAGAAGCTAAAAAAGAAATTAACAAGTAACTGCATGCCAAGCACAAAGTCATGAATATCACTGAAAAATTACAAACTGATTCCCTTTGAAGCCTCAGGAAAGAAAGCAGGTGAAATCATGGAAGTCTTAAGGAAGTAGGTGCCATTAAAAATAGTTCAAGAGAATTTCCCTGATTACATAAATTAGTGAATTCACTAGTGATGAAGGCATTGAAAGTAAAGGTCCAGAGGTTTTCAGAGTAAGTTACTCACTTTCTTAAAAACAGCAATCTGTTTGTTCATCTCATCAAGTTAGTTTGGTGACATAAAAAAATTATAACTTCTGAATTAATGGCCATTCAGTATGAAGAACACTGAAGAAATTTCCTTTCAAGGTTCCTGATGGTAATTGTAGCTGAGGAATCTCAAGACTGCAAGTATCACAAGAATATTTTAACAATCAGGAGGTGCCCTCCTACCGTTGCACCACTTGCCCCATTGTGGAAGGCCACACTGCAATACAGTAGCCCCTGACCACATGTGGCTATTGAGTACTTGAAATGTAACTTTCTCAAACTGAGTTGTGCCATTGGTGTAAAATACACACTGCACTTCAAAGATTTATTTTATTTTTATTGAGACAGAGTCTCGCTCTGTTGCCCAGGCTGGAGTGCAGTGGCGCAATCTCGGCTCACTGCAACCTCCGCCTCCCAGGTTCAGGCGATTCCCCTGCCTCAGCCTCCTGACTAGCTGGGACTACAGGCACGTGCCACCACGCCTGGCTAATTTTTTTTTTTTTTTTGTATTTTTAGTAGAGACGGGGTTTTACTGTGTTAGCCAGGATGGTCTTGATCTCCTGACCTTGTGATCCTCCCGCCTTGGCCTCCCAAAGTGCTAGGATTACAGGCGTGAGCCACCATGCCCAGCCCAAAGACTTATTTTTTAAATAATGTAAAATACGTCCATAGTTTTATATCGATCACCTGTTGATATAATAAGATTTGGGGGTATATTGACTAGAATGCATATATTATTAAATTATTTTCACATATATCTTTTTACTTTTTACTGTGGATACTAGGAAATTTAAAATTATATATGTGGCTCACATCATATTTCTCTTGGATTAGTGCATGTCTAAAGGCATTGTGAAGAAGAATAATTTTTTGAAGTATATCATGCTAGAAAGGAAGGATGCACTGGCATTTTAATATGATTATTTGATATAAAAATAATAAGCTACTCAACACACGCTTCCCCATAGCTAGGAAAAACATAAACATTTCTCCTGACGAACTGGAATCTCCTGCCCCACTCTGATCTGATAGTAGGTGGCATCATTTCTATGCCTCTCTTTTTCTCCAACTGGCAGAAAGGTGAGCCTAAAATTCAAGTTATTCAACTGCAGGATCTTTGAGGGAGGTCCTGGTTTTCTGGTTTAGTTTTATCCTACGCCCTTTTATTACGTGCCTTTGTTTTAATCCTTATTTTAATGGTTTTATTATCATAAGTTACCAAGATAGCGTTTTGGAACCAAGAAGAGCTATGGAGAAACAAGAGAGTGAATGAGACTCATACTATGGTGCAATCAGTGAGATGCCACCCTTCAGAGCTTGGAAAGACTCATTATGTCTGAGGCCCATCTCTCTGATACAGGTGTGAAGCACAAGGGATGTTTAGCAATACCAGCCAGGACACACATTTGGGATCACAAATATACAGCAGAAACTATTCACAACTGACAACCACAGATCCATAAGACAGAAAGGCACCATATTCAAAGGGCAGAAAGAGCACTGAAGTCATGCAAGCAGCTGTAAGTAATAGGGTATCATATCAGGCAGAAGTAGCAGAGACTATCAGGAATACTTAGAAATCAGGCAGATGGTGGCCATCATCAGATCTGATTCTATTTCATGAAACACCACAGAGTGGAATTAGGGCATAGTGACAGCATCCAAAGATCCAAGGAAACTTAGCAGAGGCCTAGTCCCGTGTAGACAGAAGAGGACAATTTCCATATCTATAGAGCCACACTGGCCCCTAGGATATAATTCGGAATCATGGCCTCCCAGATCTAGTGAACTGCACAGATTCCAGCTCAGAATGAGCAATAATACGGGAGCCCAGCAGTAGTAGCAGGGCCACTATATGTACCCAATGAGGAAAAGAGAGTCAAAGGCTCCAAATATGCTTCCTATTGTTGCTGAGTTTGGTCCAGGGACTGATAGGTTTGCTGCAGGTGGGAGTAGATTCAGCACACTTTTGTTCAGGCAGAAGCAGAGGAGGGAAGGAAGATGTGGCAAATGCCTTCTCTTTATAAACTGGAGGGATTATAGTGGTGCCTATACAACTCTTGTTTCAAAATCAACGCTTTAAGAACTTTAAAAGAAATACTTCTTCTGAGCCTGGCCAACATAGTGAAACCCCGTCTCTACTAAAAATACAAAAAAAAATTAGCTGGGCATGGTAGCGGGCGCCTGTAATCCCAGCTACTAGGGAGGCTGAGGCAAGGAGAATTGCTTGAACCTGGGAGGCGGAGGTTGCAGTGAGCCAAGATGACGCCATTGCACTCCAGCCCGGGTGACAGTGTGAGACTCTGTCCAAAAAAAAAAAAAAAAAATTCCTCTTCGGTGGCTTTCCAAATCTATGGAAACCGTACTGCTTCCTGTTAATTCCTATTCCTCTCCATAAATGCTTGTAATATTTTTAATAGTATGGTTGTGTATATCCATTTTAGCACTGGTGCAATCTTAATTAAGGTTGTAGAAAAAGTATAGAATTTGTGGAACGTTGTGTAACTTTGAGAATCCTTATGACTGCATTTTAAAGAAATAATTAACAACAAGGAATAACTAATAATTTTTTCAGCTATACAGAGAGATATGAGAAGACGAGGACACAGGAAAGATCATGGCCATATAAAAATCAGGACCACAGAGTCACCACAAATTATCAGAAATATTCTAAGTGAAGTATACATAAACTTGACTATTTTCTTAGAATGATTTTAAAAGATTTAGCACAAAAATGGGTTTCATTTCAGATAATCAAAATCAATAAACATTTTAAGTGAAAAGTAGTACACAACTGACTACAACAAAAAATGAGGAAAAGTCTTGGGACTGAATCAAAAATAAATGACCTGTTAAATGTAAAGTACATTATGACTATATAAGCAAAATTAAAAAAAAAAGGCCCAAGACCCAATGAATTCATCAATTTTTTAAAAAGAAGCATGAGATCAAAGGTAGAACTAAGTGGTGAATTTCACAAAGTAGACCTAGGCAATTTCAAATTGGCTGCTATACTCTTCAAGGTAAAGGACACAAACCAAAGGTACCTATATATACTTTTCGTGATATTTATTTCAAGGAGACAGATCAAATTAAAAACTTCAAGAATGTTTTCTGCCTGGTAAATATTCCAGCAACCCACATAAGCACTGACTCAGACACTTAGTCCAATAGAACTCCAAAGAGGTTTTCCTGACACTGAGAAGAGGGGGTGAGTTTTGGGGAAAAAAATTTTAAAAATAAAGTACTTCCAGTCTATATATTGTAAACTCACCTATTCATGGATTTGTGAAATTTAGAAACAGCCTAATAAAAATTCTAGGACAACTGAGTTGTCACAATGTCACAAGAGCACAAATTCATATTGAGTGACTTTTCTAGTAATATGAACAAAACCAATATAAATTTCCCTCAACATATCAGAAATAATATATATTCTATTTAGTTCCAAGAAAGAAAAAAAACTTTTATAACTTGAGAAAACTCAAAATATATGACAATCTGTCACTAAATTAAAATAAGCTATAGTAATAAGTGACTATGTAAAAAACCCACTACAACTATGCGTTCATCTTCACGTACAAAGGCTATTTCTAAATGGGTCAGAGTAAAGCTTTGGCTGATACATGCTGATGGCAGAATAGGGCCAGAAATGAGCCAAAGCTGTGTGTATTCCAAAACTCATTGATATTTAAATCTGGAGTGGGTCTTTGTGCTTACATTTGAACATGTTGTGAGAACATGAGCCTCCTGTTGCTTTGTAGTAATACATGCTCATTCTTACAAAATGTTTGCCTTGTATGGTTATAAAAGGAGGGCACATTACTTTGGTGGGGGTAGAGGAGAATCAACACAACTATTTTGCTAGTGCACTACTGCTAATACATGTCCTGCAAATAGAAGCATGACCTGATGGGGAAGCTTTAAGAGACAAGAGTAGTAGAGACGTTGTCTTATGACTTGGGAGTGGGAACAAGGTATTCCCCCATATGTATGTATTACTTCCCCTTTGCTAAAATAAGTGCAAGAAATAACTAATGGTTTTCTCCGCTATAGAGACAGAGATAGGAAAGGATACAAAAAAGACCATGGCCATAATAAAAATCAGGACTACACAGTCACCACAAATTACCAGAAGATGAGAGAGAAATACTCTGTCAACTATACTACTGGCATACACTGGAATGTCTTCTTAGAAGAAATTTTAAAGGATTTAGTGAACAACCAGTTATTATTTCAGAAAATAAAAATTAATACAAATTTTCAGTGAAAGGTAGTATACAATTGGCTATTATAATTGGCTGTTTAGTTCTTTGTACCCTCCACAAAATTGCAAGATATTTTTTAACTTTTTATTTTAAAGTAATTAAAATTTCACAAAAAAAATGCAAAGAAATGGACGGGAAGGTCATGTGCACCCTTCATCCAGTCCTCATTCTCAATGTTAACATCTTGCAAAACTGCAATATTAAAACCAGGAAACTGACAATAGTACAATCCATGGAGCTTTTCATAGAATCCATAGATATTTCACCAGCTATACATACAGTTATTTTTGTTTGTGTATGTGTGTATAGCTCTATGTCATTGTATCACATGTGTAGCTTCGAGTAACCACTAGCACAATCAAGACACTTAACTGTACTATCACCATAAGACTCCCTAGTGCTACCACTTTATGCACACCCCACCCTCTCCCCTTCCCCTCCCTAACCCCTGGCTACCACTAATCTTTCTCCATAATGATCTTATTTCATGAAGGTTGTATAAATGAAATCATTCAGTAATGTATCTTTTTAAGACAGGTTTTTTTTTTCACTCAGCACAATTTCCTTGAGGTTCATCCAGGTTGTTACCCATAATAACAGTTTGTTAGTCTTTATTGCTGTAGTCTATAGCATGCTTATATCACAGTCTGTCCAACCATTCACCCACTGATGGGCATATGGGCATTTCCAGTTTGGTGCTATTACAAATAAAGTTGCTGTGAACGTTCATGTTCAAATTTCTGTGTGAAAATTAAATTGCAACATTTTTAAGGGAATGAGTGGTGTTTTATTCACCATTGTATTCTCAACACTTCATATGACACATAATAGGTAATCAAAAATGTCTGTTAAAGAAATGAATGAGTGAACCAAAAAATTGCCTCTAAGTGGCAGAAAATAAAAAAGGACTCATCTGTTGGGGGAAACCTAGTTGGGAGGAAATAGGCCAAGAAGAGGTCTTGAAGTGGCACTGGTAGTTTGAAGACTACAGCAGTGTTTCAGAAAGATTTCTGACACACGAACAAACACACATCAATCAGAATATTTTTAAATTTAATTTAAATATTGAGCTTCATATTAATAAACTGTTTGGATTAACAAGCTATAGCTGACCTTTTTAAGAAACAACTGGGGAGACTTCCATTTCTAGCCAAGATGGACTGAAAGGGACTGGATGTGCCCTGCTTCCTGAAACAACCAAAAATAAACCCCGACAAAATATACGAAACAATGGTTGTCAAGACATGAGCTATCAGACCACAAACGACGTTGATCCCTGAGGGAGGTGAATCCTATGACGGCTCTGGCTTAAGCCCGTGAAGGTTTCTTAGCAGTGGCACAGGAAGGGCAACTAACTCAAGGGAGGCAAACTCCATGAATTGAGGAAACAGAGCTAAAGATATGGGATAATAAAGCAGCTAGAGCTTACAGGACAGAGTTCAGGAGAGAGCAGATGCACAGACAACAATCTCTTGAAATCTGCAGAGAGTCTCAGAGATCTGGATATGTGCATGAGGAAGCTACCCAAGGCTGAGGAAAGAAGCATCGGAAATAATTATACGGGGAACAGTACCTGGCACCTTCCTACGGCTGGAAATAGGCCTTTTCTCACCAGTCAGAATGGAAAATCTCTTAATTCATATGCAATTAGGTAGAACCTCAGTAGTGAGAAATGAGGTAGACTATGCACTGCTCTGGTCTCTCCTGGCTAACATTTTAATCCCAAAAAATTGAAAGCAAAAAGAGCCAAGTGAATCTATCTATATCTAGCTGGTGGCATAATCACACCAAAAGAAACAATTTTACATGACTTAAAACCTCAGTAATACATACATCTTTAAAGAGAAGAAGGGGGCTGTACACAGGGTGTACACAGGATGTGTACATCACTACTGATGGTAGTAGTCTTGGTATTATTATTCTGAGCCTGTTGTAAGTGTATTTGTAGCATAAGCAAATAAGTACGCTACTATCATTAAGAATTAAGATTGTAGGATGGTCAGCTGGGAAGAAAGGACATTGATATGATGCAAGATTTATGTGACTAAATTAAAATCCTGTTGGCCTGTATATTAATAGGAAGTATTAGTGTGAGCTCCTGATGTATTTAATCTTAAAATTAAACACACACACGCACACTCTCACACACACACATACACACACTTTTTATAGCTCTTTCCTTTGAAAGGGCCTAGATTAAGGACAAAGTCAGTAGCAATGAGCTCACTAATTTTAAGATTACGGTTTTCAAGTACTAGTTCCAAGTCAAAAAAAAAAAAAAAAAAAGAACTAAAATTTCTTGGATAATTGCCTGATTCCAGGTTGGGAAAGGAAATATTAAAGATGAGCCTGTTATATTTTGTCACACCAATTATCCTGGAAGCTCTCAAAAACTTGAGGTTCTTTCAAAAACACAGAGGAACCAACTGAGATAAACTTTGAGTAATCAGAGATGTGGCAAACTGGGCATTCATAAGTACGATAACTGCAATAGCTTGAAGTGCATTAATGTTCATAATGAAATTTTTTAAACCATTGGTAAACTTTAGAGGATGTTAAGGAACCACACATTATATTAAGAACTGATAAAGGGAGAGAATAAAGCATCCATCCTGATTTTCTTATATAAATTGAAACTCTAACAAACTAGTTTATCTTTATAGAAGCATTCCACCCAATAAATAAACCAGAAATGACAATTATATTGCCATTTTTCAAGCTCTAAGGAATAAATAGATGTAGGCAATGATCAACAACACCTGCTAATGTCACAAAAAGAGAAAGAGCCATTAGTCTTGCCCCTCATCCCCTAAATGAATTTCATCAAGTTTCTAGAGTCTTCACTACCCATTAACAGGTAAGAAACAAGGCTGAGGAGCTCATTAAATGACTCTGCAGGAAAGCATCAGCAAATGCAGACTATGGAAAGCTCTACAGCACAAACAATCCAGTTTCTTAAGAAACAAAGAAAAATAAACATAAACCTATAGATTAAAAGAAGAGACATATTAACCAATTACAGTGTATGGACCTTATTTGTATCCTGCTTCAAACAGTAAAGAATACAAAACTTTAGGAGACAACTAGAAAATTTTGAATATTGGTTTTGTATATTTGAGAATAGTAAGAAAATGTTGACTTTTTAAGTGTGGTTAATTTTCTAGATGTGGTTCATTTTTAAGTTAAAAAAATCTTATCTTTTAAAGATACAGACTGAAATGTTACCAGATAAAATGATGTCATGTCTGGGATTCGCTTCAAAATAATTTGAGGTGGAAGTGGAAAGTGGAAACAACAATTATGAAACAACCTGGCCCATGAGATGATAGCTGTTGAAGGTAGGTATAGTTATACAAAATTTCATTATACTTTTCCCTCTACTTTTCTAATATATTCTGAATTTTCATAACAAAAAGTTAAATACACTTAAAAGTAGACAAATACATACTAATTTGAGGTGGTGGTTAAGGACTCAGAAGTTACAGTCCATGTGTCTGAATGAAAGTAGTTTCTCAAACATGCAGATATCAGAGATTTGTGGGATTCCTTCAATGGAGAACCATGTTTTCTCCACACAGAACACTGGTTTCTGAGCAAAAGTAGGCCCTCTTCCTGAAAACAGATCTGACAATATGAAAGTGGTTGGCTACTTAACTGAAGATACCAAAAGGAAAAAAAAAAAGGACACCAAAAAACTGGGTCTACAAATGTGGTTGTTGGTTCTCCTTGTTTTTTTTTTTTCAAATAAGGCTCGGTTTAGGAGCAGTCTAATAGAGCATGTGACTGCTATACTTCCAACAGTATCTTTGCAAATAAATACAACCCATACAATTCAATTGTCCATCCCACTTTTCCTGTTTGTTTATTGCTCTTCAACAGCAGTTTCACCTCATGCTTTTTAATTTTTTCATTCTGAGGCAAGGAAGAAGGATCTTTAGAGTTGTTAAAAAAGTTTCCTGAAGTCAAGTAATTCATTAGAAAGTATGTTTTATCCAGAATCCTATTGTTTCGCTGCAGAAGGAACACTCAGTAGCTTGTCCAAGGTTCTGCCAAAGGAAGTCTCCTCTCTCTCGCTTATCTGAATCCTATCCTTCCAAAAGAACATGCCCAGGTCCAATAAATGGAGTTCCTAAAAGGACGGATGTCTCCCATTTAAAAAAATATTTCCCAGAGTCTCTAGGTTCAATGTCCTACAAATAATCAGCATTCAAGATATGGATTTACTAACTTTTAAAATCTATACAAATTTAAAATTTTCAATATTATTTTATACACAATTATCCTATCTATAATATTACTGTCTAGCATTATTATAAAAGTATCATCACAAATCCTAATGATCATTTCCACTAAACGCCTGAAAAGGTCATGGGAGATTTAAACTCTGATGTGTGCTTTGGAAGTAGAGTCAGCTTTTGGAGAAACAAGGCTAGGGAGCACTTTTTGAGGCCGATTACATTTTTGGAATTATTTGCCAAGTTGTATTGCCAAGTTGCATTGCAGAACTTGTAAGAAAACTTTTTCCTTTTTTTATTTTTATTTTATTTATTTATTTATTTATTTTTTGAGATGGCGTTTCACTCTTGTTGCCCAGGCTGGAGTGCAATGGTGTGGTCTCACCTTACTGGAACCTCCACCTCCCGGGTTCAAGCGATTCTCTTGCCTCAGCCTCCCAAGTAGCTAGGATTACAGGCGCCTGCCACCATGCCCGGCTAATTTTGTATTTTTAGTAGAGACAGGGTTTCACCATGTTGGTCAGGCTGGTCTTGAATCCTGACCTCAGATGATCCGCTCACCTTGGCCTCCCAAAGTTCTGGGATTACAGTCATGAGCCACGACACCCAGCCAATTATAACTAAACTTTAAAAAATATTTGTCCCCATAGTTAGAATTTTCATTAGTGTATTTATCTTTTTCATGTAGTCTTGTTTACAAAGGCCATTTTAAAAGTTGCTGTCCCAGGCTTATAAAGTAATTTTATAATGTCTTCCTATCGACCATATGAAAAGCATTCATCTCTGAGAAAGTATCATAAAGAAATTCTACTGTAATAATTCAAATATTAAAGTAAACATAAAAAATTATACTGTATGACAGAATACCAAAAGAAATAGAAAATCTCTGCAAGAGGGTATTTAATTTCTGATGAAAACAAAATAGTACTCTTTACAATTTGGCCTATCACATGACAGTATTTCTCAAAATCCTGCTAAATTAATGTTGGAGCATACTTCTTCAGGCATTAATGATTTCAGTAATGGTCAATGGTAGTTGATACAGATAAGAAATAACTGATAGTGATATCAAATCTATACATATTTGACTCTCCCCACATTTCTAAGTGACCTAGACCAGAGCTAGGTTGTTTATGTGGTAGCCACTAGTTACATGTGGGCTATTTATATTTAAATTAATTAAATGTAAATAAAATTCAAAATTAAGTTTCCCTGTTGCACTAGCCATGTTTCAAGTACTCAATAGCCACATATGGCTAGTGAGTACCATATTGGATGGTGCAGCTATGGAACATGTCCATTATCACAGAAAGTTCAACTAAACAAGGTTGGTCTACATTAGAGAGGTTACTACTGATGAATGGAAAATCTCAAATATATACATAAATGTGTGTGTGTGTATATATATATATATATATATATACACATTTATTTCTATAGCAATTTTCCTTTTGTTATAGGAGGTTTCATTAAATATGTCAAATTTAAATTTTTTTTCTGGAAAAATTTATATTTTAATGTAAACAGTTAAAATTGTGCCATGAGCATTGTACTATAGATTTTCATTTCCCTTGTATTACAAGGAGAATGAATTCAAAAGATTCCATTTTCTCAAAATAGTGAATTATAACATTACCTGGTCTTCCCCTTCAATTAGCATTTTCTTTCTTTATAAACATCTATTCTAAGCCCTCTCTGCTTCCAATTTTACTCAGCCAAAGCCCACTTTTATTATGCAGCAAGGAAATCCCACTTCTGGCCTCAAACTCCACTGAAAGTGGAGTTTGGTAGCACTTCCGGTCTCAAACTCCACACTTGTGAAGTTTGTGAGTTACATAAAAAATTAAATTCCTAGCCAGGTCTTCCTATTGGGTGAGGAGGCCCTTCCAAAGTTCCAGCGAATTCCTTAGTCTGACAACTTTTCTCAATTCAGAAAGATGTGTTTGGTAACATATATTAAAAGGCAGAAATATGCAAATGCATAAACAATAGAATTTGACATAATTATGTGATAAAGTGAAATGCTCCTGCAGTTAGTTATTGAACATGAAGGACCTCTCTAATTCTTCAGAGAAACTGTGAGATAATCTCTACCATTTATGCTTAGCAAGGAGTCATGCTGCAGAGGAAAAGTAGAAATACACACGAGTGACAAAAGCAAAAAAATATATATATGAAAAACTCTGAAACCACCCTCGATGAAAAGTAATATGTCTGTATTTAAAGAGCAGGTAAATCATATAGTGAATTTAGAAGGTAAAAAACGAGGTCTATAATTACATGAGTATATAGAAAATGTTAAGTGTTTTCGTGAAAACGTATATAAACAATAATGAATAATCATTTCACATTGAAAATAATTTAATTTTAAAAGGAGATAGTACAAATAACAAAAAAAAAGTCGAAGTACGGAAATAGTAGAAATTTCAAATATTTTAGGAATGTCTTTCTCCAGAGTAGCATGTTGTTTAGAAACTAAATTTCCACAGTAGATTTCATAGCTCCTGAACATGAATTAAAACTTTGATATTAGCTGCAGAAATGTACATTAGTTTGTGGGGAGGGGATAAAGAAAATGATGTGCCAACCTCCCAACAATTTCCCCAAACAGATTTTTGCATCTTGGTCATTACACTTACTTTCAAGATTCTTTTCTTGGTTTAAACATGTAATCTTGTCTCTTTGCTCACCTGCTCACTCTTCAAGCAAGCCTACAGCCAAATAAATTGCCATACATGTTTACCAATAAACCATTATTTTCCAAGGAATTTTTTCTTAATTTTTAAAATTTAACAAGTTTAACTACAATTAAGAAAGTACTCCCGGCACAAGGACTCTGAAACATTGTTTGGGTCTTGGAAAAGTTTGAAACTTCCAATTCATTAGGATTTTGAGTAGCTGTTTTGTACCTAAGAATGAGAATTGATGGAGAGAGTGGTACTAAGCACATAATTTTATGAAATATGGTGAAAACATGAGAGTTTTGTTATGACGCACATAACAATAAAGAACCTGTTTCTTTTTAGCAGGCTCCTAAAAAGTACCTCCCTTATAATTATTAAATAAAAACACTCACTTATTCAGTACTCAGCTAGGTTTTAAGATCTGAATAACAGAAGTACACAGTGAGAGAGGTACTTACATGGTTTCCTTGGATACTGGATGATGCCATTCAGGTCTATGTTTTTATCTGAAAGTGGTGCCCTGTGGAGAAACGAGGCTTGGTGAGTGGCTGTTTATACATAGTAAGTAAATAGGAACTTTGTTTATTTTACAAAGCATTTTTTATTTTGACCCAGCTTTCCTTTTCTCATCACACCCAACTCCTGTAAACAGCAATAATATGGTAGAACAGGTACTCTGTACAACTCTTTTTAACAACACTTAAGAAATCATAATTATTAAGGCAGAAGCTCAGAATGCTTTGGCTAAGGATGTTACTCCTTGGGCTGCTTTATATATCTTGACTATTTTATTTATGTCAGACATATTAATGAATATTGCCTGCCTCTCTATTTTCCTCAAAAGGAATATTGCTCAAACCACTAATAAAGAAATTAGTCTAAAACATTCACATAAATGATAAACGTCCTTACCTTAACCAAAAGATAAGAGAACTCAAGCTTTAGCCAGTTTCTAAACATGAAGGGTTTCCATAGACCTTAGCTGCCATTTTACATGTTCCAGTGGCATCCTAGATTCCCAATAGTTTTAGTGCTATGAGCATACAATTTTGACATTCAGTCCCTCAGAACTACACACATTCTAATTTTGGTAGTATGAATAATCTCTCCTATGTGATAAGTTATTTAACCTTCTAATATTTCTTAGAATCGAAAAGAACAAATGAGCTGCAACAAAGAATGGCAAATAACTTTTATGCTTAACACAATTTAATA
Organism: Homo sapiens; assembly: GCF_000001405.40. NCBI lineage: Eukaryota > Metazoa > Chordata > Mammalia > Primates > Hominidae > Homo > Homo sapiens. The sequence goes on along the minus strand of NC_000005.10, from coordinate 88,904,513 downwards.
ACCTGAAATGAAGTAAGTATGTGCTATGTTTCCATTAAAAAGTTTCCAGCCACAATTAATTGAACGAAAACTTGTCTTGTTCCAAGATTATTCTTGGAAATGTAATTTTAAAATCTGCTTGAAATGAGGAAACTTACTTTTTTATACCATATGAAAGCAATTTCATTTTTTAGGAATGATTTTTGGATAGACTTCCGATTGGATATTTTCCATTGGAACTAGCAGCATAGGGGGTCGGGAGGGGGGAGGGGAGGGAAGCAATTCTGTGTTCTTTTGCCAGCACTGACAAAGGTCTGGTTGTCAGTGATACCTTTACAGCTAAATTTACTCCAGAGTGACAGAAACAGGTGCACCTCGGCCTGCCAGACACTTGTGCAGAGAGATCACGCATCTCACGGCTTGACGATCAAGGGGGCAAAGCCTCGGTCTTCATAGAAAAGGAGAGGAGGCAAACGCAGCCCAAACTGGGGGGTTTCTCTTCAAAGCCAGCTGGTCTGGCTTTATTCTGCAGGAATTTTTTTACCTGTCAGGGTTTGGACAACAAAGCCCTCAGCAGGTGCTGACGGGTACAACTTCCTGGAGAAGCAGAAAGGCACTGGTGAGTTTCAATTGCCAAAATATATTTTTTAATCTCTAAAAGTTAATTTTGTTGTCTTGAAAGAGGCACCACTGAGGTACCTGTGTTCACAAAGTTGATGAGACCATTGGAATCAGAGCCAACTCACTCAACAGTGGGTTTGCCTTGTGTGAAAGTAAAGCTGTTACCATATAACAATTTTTTAGGTTTTTTTTTTAGGTTTAAAACAAGATTCTATTTTTAAATATTGGTCTCTTTCATTACTGTTTTCAATATTTGGAAGATGAAGAGTTAATTACATTTATAATATTACACGATTTAACACACATTTTAGTCTCCTTTTTATCTAATTCTGTCATAATCTTTTCTGAATAAAAAGTTATTTTCTAATAAATCTCCCAAATAAAAAGGTGTAATGGTACATACTATTTTCAAAAATTACATGTACTGGGTTTTTTAAAATGTGTGCATGCTACAAGAACATGATTAGAGAGAACATGCAATTAACTTTATTTTAATACATTTTTAAAGCATACATTGCATGTATAATTAAATAATTTAAAATATATTGCATGTTTAATAATTAAATAAAAGTAAATTGTATTGTAGTAAATATTATTTAATAATTAAAAGTGGCAATATTTTCTCATTACTTTACAAAGAGCGTCTTTTGAGAAAAATCTTTGAAATTAACAACCAAGACGGTATTAAAGCATGTTTTTACATCACTGATTTCCAAAATTCGTATATTTATATATTTTTTATTTTTATTTTGTTAATTCAAAAGTTTAGGCAAAAATATTTTTTTCAGAATAGGACTTTAATTAATGCAAAACATGAAAAAATGAGACCACATGTTAGGACATATTTTTAAAAAGTGACTCTATTTCAGGGATTCATTCTTTTAACTATGCTTCACAGCATTTCTCTACAAATTGTTGTATTATAGTAAATTGAAAACATTTATTTAAGCAAGTAAGCAGCTCAAAGCTAGAGCCTATACGTAGTAAACATATGAAACCATTTTAATAACCAAATTCCATATTCACAAGCAACATGGGCTAATGAATTTAAAAGAAACAACAGTATACATTGATGAAGAATGCTATAAATTATTATGGATAAAATCAATTTTCTGGGCTGTGGGGGGTAGAATTGGTGCTTAAGAAAGAAAAGACTCCTACCAATATAAATTACTAATACTATGAGGCAATTGTTTTATTCTGATGATCCCATAAATAACTTTAAATCTACATCCTTAACACATGATTGTATAGTGGAAAAAAAATAAGGTCTGACTTTTTTAATGACCACTGTACCTGAAATGATTTTTAAATCAGTGACGACATGGATATGCCACAAATGTATAACTAACATACTCTTTTAAACTGTTGTAATTGCTGTTGAAAATTATGAAACATTTGTGGTTTAAAAAATTATCAGAAATACTCCACCCAAACAAAATAGCTAATATTTTAAAAACATAACGTTACCCACAAACATTTTAATGAACCCCTATTTTAAAACATTAAAACCCAAATATACTTTTTATTATAAATTGTTACATATATATTTCAAATGATTAAAACATTTAAAAATATATGTGTATTTATTGCGATTTCAAGCTGCTACTTTCATATATATTTTGTCATGCTTCATTATGTTTCATTATATTGATTCAGACACCTGAGTAACTATAGTCGCTAAATTTTTAGAATAACTTCATTAGTCTCTTAAAGAATTAGTATGTATTTCATGCACTTGAAAATTTTACTTTTATTTTTCTAGTCTGTTAAATACTATATTCCTAAACAATCACAATATTTACTTTTAAAGATGATAGTTACTGCAAAACTGAACAACATGTGTTCTTATGTCAACTTCAGAATTGTATTTGTTAAGTTTTCACATGCATTACCATTGGCTATAATTATTACATTGTCATTAAGTATAAGCAAACCAAAAGCTTCTGCCAAACTATTGTTTATGACTCTGTCAATTATTTAAGTATAAATGAAGCTACTGGAAATAATATTAAATATAGCTCAAATATTTCAAAATAACTAAAATTTATCATTTTAGCTGTGCCTGAATTGTAGACTTAATCTAAAATCCCATTTTTTAAAATTTTCATTATGAGAGGCTGTAAATTCTTGTCCACCATGCAGCTATGTTTGTCCTTTCTAATAAATCTTCAACATTGTGTCACAAAAAAACCTATGCCAACTCCCTCAATGTATGGGAATGGTTTATTTTAATAAAATATTGGAGTTTAAAGTAGCATTGATTTACACCTGCTCTAAATATTTAACATTAAAACATATGCATTTTAAACATTATTTGCAAGTTATCTTCCTATCTTACAGATAGCTTATTTACAGTGGAGAAAAATTGTTTTCCTGTTTCAGAAAGACACTTGGAAAAACATGTTATTTAACCTTATATATTAATAGGGAAAATCTTGATTCTCCCAGTAGTTAACTTCAATTAATTATATTTTAAATATCAGCCTATTTAATTTCAGTGCAACAAAATTTCCAGCTAAAATGGTTTACTTGTAAGTATTTAAAGCAACAAAAATATTTTGGCAGCTTTATATGTATCTCCTCATTGACCAGCCACCTGACTGACAGCTGTCAACTGTCCATGTGCCAAATGTAACCCAGTAAAGATAAAAATTACATATTACTCATCCCTGTTGATAATACCTGGTGCCAGTAGGTTTTCAAATAGGAATAACTAGACTATAGATAAAAAACAAGTAAGTGGGGAATCATTTCTACTGCCTACCATTCCTCCTTTGTCATTAACTCATTTCCCTTTCTTTTTCTTATTGATCCCTTTTCCCTTGCTGTCCATATCTATAGAGTTATTTTCCTTAAAGGAACTTTCAGAATATGTTACAAGTCTGTGTCCATGAAAATACTGGGCAGCCAGGTAATGATGCCCACACATTTCTTTTAGTCATATTTTCTTTTGAGCTCATAAACTATTTCGGAGTTATGGGAAGAAAGCTTTAAAGCTTTCAGCTTCTCATTTTCAAAGAAAATGAAATCAAAGAACAAAAATGAAATTTACCAAAGGTCACCAAGGTGGTGACCTTTATGTAGATACAGACTTGGGTCTGTTTCCCAACTTAATATCCAGGGATTTTTTTTCTAATTAGACTTTAAGCATGTTGACTAGTAAACTATAAGTAACAATGATCACATGGAAAATTAATGTGAATTATATTCCTTTGAAGAACCCTTTTCAGTCACCAAATTTAATACCTTGTTAGAGAAATACACATTTTTATCACAGCATATTAAAATGTAGTTCTAAAAAATACAAAGACTATAAATGTACTAAAACATCTATGGTACAAAAGTTTTTTATTTGTCTTACCATTTAAATGGATTTCCAAACTGGAAATATTTATGAATGTATATGAAATAGCAGAAATAAAAAAATTATCAAAGGTAATACATATATTTAGAAGATAAATGTAGAAATCAAAAATATAAGTTGGAATATAGGGTTTTTTTTAAGATTGGGAGTAATTAAAAATACAAAATATACTAACACATAAGTATATGTATATATCAAGTGCATAATACATTATATAGTTCATATAACTGACTTAACAACTGACTAGCTTATGTGTGTGTATATATAACTATCTTATATTAATTCCAAAATTATTAATTATATTAGTAAATATGGTCTATTTATATAATTTGTTGATAATATTTGTGCAATATATTGATCTGGTCAAGGTCATGAAAATATTAATATTCAAGCCAAATATTTGTCTTCTGGATCTCCAGAAAAGAAACTGTTTAGTTGAAATCTACCACATTCTGAATTTATAAGAATTTATTTTAGTCCTGGGCTTTGGAACAGTACTTGCTTATAAGAAGTATTAGCTTTAAAACCCAGACATGTAAATTAATAAGAAAAAGAGATGGGGTAAAGCTTAAAATATTGAGAAAAAATATGGAGGGAAATTGTGGCTAGGGTTCCCCTGCAAGGGATTGATCTAAAATAATCAACATTTTTATGACTAACAACACCATTTAGCAACTAAATTGTATATCTAAATTTGAAAATATATTTGCTTATTCCATTACATTTAGTCCAAATCAACATTAGTCATTAATCAACAAACCATTTAACAATATGTAATAACAGTATGCAAATCAATTGCAAGCAAAATAGTAAATAGCATCCATTTCTAGCAATTTGAAAGATAGGCAAGTTTAATCATTGCCCTGCATCCCAAAGGGGTTTTAGTGAAAATAAGTGACTTGTCCGGTATCTGCTTTTGAAGGATCATAGAGGCTTCCTCATTAGAGTTAAAGAGTGTTCTTCAAAGAGCACCAGAGCAGAAGTAGGAAGATTTGAGTTAGACTCTCTGTTTCACTGCAAAGTCATTTTGTGACTGGAAACAAGTCACTTAACCTCTGTGAGGCTAATGAATGGATGGGCCTTTTTGGCCATTTTGTACAAATCATAGGAAAGTAAGTTTTAGTTATCCAATGAAAGATATTTCCTCTGTTTCATGTGAGGAAGTCTCAAAAGGAATCTGGAATATTATTGGTGGGTTCCTGTCTGCAATGACTGGGCCCCACCCTATCCCTATTGCTATAAGTAGCCCACCATGTAAGCATTCCAAGTAATTAAAACTGACACACTATCTAGCCTGTGAAGTCAGTGGGGAAAACAAAATCACTTTGCAATATACTCCAGAGCAGCAGGCCTTATTTTTTCCACTTGGGGACCCTAGTAACATAATACAAAAAGTCTCATTCTCAAAATTATGTTATGACACGAAGCTTTGAACTTTTCAGTATGCACTATAAGGCTGAATTGACAAAAAAGTACTGAATGGTCATTTAATATTTTTAATTTTATAGAATGACAGGAAAATTTTTAAACTTAGAAAGATATTCTCCACACACAATGCTGTAAGCCAGCATGATAATATATTTATTTATGTCAGGAAAATGTTGGAACAAGAAACAGTGTTAAAAATATCTGAATCCTAGTACAATATGTCTGCTACATATAGGTATTTAGGTTATGTATGATGAATAAATGGAATGAAAGAATGGATAAATACAGCTGGGGAGTTCAATATTTTTAAGGAAAACTTGTAAACTAAAGCAATACTTTTGCAATAGTAATAATCATTTATTATTGCTATTTTTATGTTCATGAGGACAGAATTAAAACATGATTAATGTATTTTTTAAAAAATCTTAATACAAAAGAGGTTAAAGACCTAAGATATGGATCACTCTGTTGACAAGGTTGGCAAAGATGTGCAGGCCCTTTATGACTGCTTGGCAGATGGAGGTGATTACTGAGGTCACAAGGAACATCTGCATTGATTGAAAATCTCTTTACAGAGAAGCCACATTCCTCAAGTGACTATGACCAGTGCCAGTCCTATTTTCCTGGAGTCTAGGCTCACAGCAGGTGGCAGTCACTGAAGGATGAAAATGTTTGGGAGTCACTTATCACCAATGGTAGAGGTCCCTGGATCTGAAGCCCATTTTACAGGTTTTGCAGAGGTATCAGGACCCAATGAACCGATTCCATCCAAGAAAAGATAATGGCTATCCCTCAATTAAGTAAAGATGAAGAATTGTACAGAAATTTGAGATAATTAGGTTTCCATATTGCTTAACTGGTTTTCTAATTTCAACAGGCAGAATATTTGTGGCATGTCTTTTTTTCTTGTTTACAATTTTGAATCAAGATTCATCTTACTATCTTGAAAGGTTCTCATGACTTTAAAAGTTCCACAAAATTTGTGAACATTAGTGGAGAGAACAGGAGTGAATAACAAACGGAGAGAAAAAAAAATTATGGCATTAGAGGGACCTGTGGATCTTATGCTTCCCCTCACCTTAAGAGAGTAGCATGCAAATAAGTGCTATGGAAGAACCACCTGAGGAGCCTGTTATAATGCAGATTCCTGAGATTGCAGCTAAGTGGGCCTGAGGTGGGGCCCATGAATCTGGATTTTAACATGCACCTGGGTGATTCTGAGGCACTTTGGTTCTTTGAGCTAGACTGTTAACATCCTCACAAGGAGCCCTCTTTTGTGAAGAGGATCAGTTCTCCTGCTCTACAGTAACAGGAAAACTAACATTTAGTGATCCCAAGTCCCAAAAGATGAAAGGGAGCATATGCACACAAGTATAGACTTTACCTTTTAAAATGTATTGTCTGCTATAATTAAACACTACTGTGTTGAGTAG